>NC_000007.14:150215955-150367470 GCF_000001405.40 Homo sapiens | reverse complement strand
GTTTTATTTTCTCTTGTGAATTTGTTTATGTCCATTTGCCCACTTTTCTATTTGCCCATTTTAAAAGTTGGGGAGTTGGTTTATTGTTTGGGGGGCACTCATAAAGTACAGGTATTAAAGACTTGTCATGTTTGTTGCAGACGTGTTTCCTCGTACTTGTTAACTTTTTTTTTTTTTTTTTTTGAGACAGGGTTTCACTCTGTCACCAGAGCTGGAGTGCAGTAGCACTATCATGGCTCACTGAAGCCAGGACTTCCTGAGCTCAAGCAATCCTCCCACCTCGGCCTCTGAGTAGCTGGGACTACAGGATCACATCACCACATCCAGCTAATTATTTTATTTTAATGTTTTTCTTCTGTAGAGATGGGGTCTCACTGTGTTGCCCAGGCTGGTCTCAAACGATCCTCCCGCCCCAGCCTCCCAAAGTGTTGGGATTACAGATGTGAACCACTGCATCCGGCCTACCTTTTCAGTTGTTGATGTGAGAAAGTTTTGCTTTAGTCTATGTGCTGCTGAAGCGAGCATAAGAAAGTTTTGTTTTATTTTTATTTTATTATTTATTTATTTATTTATTTATTTATTTATTTATTTATTTTGAGATGGAGTCTGGCTTGTCTCCCAGGCTGGAGTGTAGAGGGAGGTGTGATCTCGGTTCACTGCAAGCTCCGTCTCATAGGTTCTCGCCATTCTCCTGCCTCAGCCTCCCGAGCAGCTGGGACTACAAGTGCCCGCCACCACGCCCAGCTATTTTTTTGTATTTTTAGTAGAGACGGGGTTTCACTGTGTTAGCCAGGATGGTCTCGATCCCCTGACCTCGTGATCTGCCCGCCTTGGCCTCCCAAAGTGCTGGGATTACAGGCATGAGCCACCGTGCCCGGCGAGAAAGTTTTGTTTTAATGTGCCAAAACTTAGCAGTCTTCCTTTATGGTTTCTGCCTTTAGAGTTATGTTTAGAGAGGCTACCCGCAACCTAAAACTACATTGAATGTCTGCAGTTTTATCACAGAAAATAAGTTTTGGTAGCTGGTAGTTTAAGTACTTCCCCTACACAAAGATTCTGGGTTTTTTTATTCTTCATAACTTCTTGGCTAGAATCACTTCATTTATTCTTCCAAACTGACATGGAGCCGGCACCCCTCTTACAGGCCTGCAGGAAGTGGGGAGGGGGCAAGCATGGAAATAAAGGAAAATCTTGAATTCCTTCAAGGGAAATTCCAGGCACCCAGCTAGCAACCTAATAAACAAGAAGGTAACTGTAGCTTAAAACAAGGAAGTTACAGTCACAAAATGTTTGGTTCCCTATAGAAACTAAAGATAACATCTTAATATATGTCCCTGAGTTGCTCTTCAGAAACCTGGGCCCCCCTCCCAAGTGGATGCCCTGGCCTGCAGACCTCAGACAAGAGGGAACTGAGGACTAAGCTCTGCTGTTCTTTGTTCTAAATTTCTTCCTGAGGATCCTGATGGAAGTTGGACCAGACCTGAACATTCCTTTCTGCTAACCCCAAGGTTTTAGGCAAAGCTTTGCTTCCTTAACTTATCACAAATCAGAGTCTTTGAATTCATGTATGACCTTTAAGGCTCCTCCTTCAAAATACCCTGCCCTTTGAGGCTAAACCAGTGCATAACCTCCATGTATCAATTCACGATTTTGCCCATAACTTCTCCTTTCCTGAAATTTACCCCTGCTTTTAAAAACACTTGCTTGTGGCCGGGCCCAGTGGCTCATGCTTGTAATCCCAGCACTTTGGGAGGCCGAGGTGGGCGGATCACAAAGTCAGGAGTTCAAGACCAGCCTGGCCAACACAGTGAAACCTCGTCTCTACTAAAAATACAAAAATTAGCTGGACGTGGTGGCAGGAGCCTGTAATCCCAGCTACTCGGGAGGCTGAGGCAGGAGAATCACTTGAACCCAGGAGGCGGAGGTTGCAGTGAGCCAAGATCATGCCACTGTACTCAAGTCTGGGCGGCAGAGCTAGACTCCGACTGGGGGAAAAAAAAAACCTTGCTTGTAAACCATCGAAGAGGTTGTATCTTAAGTATGACCCACTTCTCCTCGCTTGGTGCCCTGCAAATAAATGTGCTCCTTTCTCCGGATGCACAACCTCAGTGTTGGTGTTTCCTCTTACTGCGCCGGGCAAGTAGACCCCAGTTCAGTTTTGTAACAAAATGAACTTTAGAATTTCTTGTCAATGTTTTAAAAACGTGATTGTCTTTAAGATTCATTCTCTCCACTCCATTCATTCAGGTCTTATTTTACCTGTCCCAGTCAAGTTGACTAATCTGTACATTAACTACTTAACTTTTATACTTTTTTTTTTTTTTTGAGACAGTGTCTAGCTCTGTCACCCAGGTTGGAGTGCAATGGTGCAATATCAGCTCAGTGCAACCTCCGCCTCCCAGGTTCAAGTGATTCTCCTGCCTCAGCCTCCCTAGTAGCTGGGATTACAGGCACGCACCACTACACCTGGCTAATTTTTGTATTTTTAGTAGAGATGGGGTTTTGCCATGTTAGCCAGGCTAGTCTTGAACTCCTGAACTCCTGACCTCAGGTGATCGGCCCACCTTGGCCTCCCAAAGTGCTGGGATTACAGGTGTGAGCTACCGCACCCAGCCCAACTTTTATACTTTATAAAATAAAATTCACAAATATGAAAAAAGTCTTTGTCATATCATATAGTTTGGGGGTTCTGAAAATATGGTTATAGCATATTGTGGAATATAGGCCAAGTTTAGTAGTTACGGAAGAATGAATTTTTCTACCAACAGTACAATAAGAAGATGCTCCAGTTTTTACCTAAATACTTAGTAATTTATTAGTTAACATTTTGGGAGGCTTTACTTTGTGTCAGGCATGGTGATAAACTCCTCACATACATATCTCATTTAATCCACTCAACAACCCTATGCAATACTCTTCTGGTCCTTATTTTACAAATGTAACAACCGAGACTCTGAAATGTTCAGGAACTTACTCAAGGCCACTCAGCGGGATAGTGGCTGATTTGAACCCAAGCAGTGCCCCTGTGTCCTCAATGTTAACCACTAAAGTTGCATGTGTGCTGGCCTGGGCACAGGGTAAGCGTGGGATCCCCCAGGGTTAACGAGTGAGTTTGGACATCTAATGCTTCTCCATTCCTAAAATTCCACTTGATCCCTACGTTCCTGCAAGAGCCTGCGAAGCAGAATTCCTTCATAGACTCACAAAGTATCTTCTCCTTGTCTGTAATCCGTCTTTCATAGCAGAAAGGTTCTTCATTAAACAAGGCCCTAACCTTCTTTCTCTCTCCCCAGCCTCCATTAGAGGAAATGTCTCTTCTCCCAGTCAGGAGTTAACCACCTGCTGTAACTTCCTCTTTAGCATCGCCAGAGGAAACTAAGTATGACTGTGCCTTCACTCTGCAGAAAGAAAATGAGTGGCAAAGGAGTTGCGAAGGGATTCCTGAGCCTTTATGCCAGCTGGAAGCTTAAGGCCTTGGTATTTGAGACTTCACCCTTCAAAATGTCTTGGAGGATGGCCCAGCAACCAGCCAAATGGCCCAATGGCCTAGCCCAGTGGAGACGGTCTCAGCTTTTGACAAGCTAGCCGGAGAAAGGGCTGGACAGGAAGGGGCCCACTGGACAGCGAATATTGATAGGGCCCCTGGGAGGATCAATTTTCCCCTCCAACAGTGCCTGGCTCCCATTATCAGATTAGATGCAAAGTGGGCTGGCATGCCAGGGGGTGACAGGAACAGTGTCTCCAGAAATCCTCTGTGAAGACACCCAAGTATTGTTCAGAAGTGGCCCTGTATCTGGAAGAGGGAAAACTGCACCCACTTCTTGCAGACATACAGTTCCAGCTCCCCCCACAGGACTTGCTCATACATCCAACAAATATTTAATCAGTGCCCACCATCTGCCACTGTGCCAGGTGCCCGGCCTCATCATGAGTCAGGCAGAGGTGGTCTGTGCAGTTTTCCCACAATGTGAGAGGGTGCTGAGAAGACTTTTAACGCTTATTTAACTACGGAAATAACTCTTGGTTTGGTACCTACTACAAAATAAAAACAAGCGCTTGTTGATAATTTCTGGATGGATGACTGTGGAAAGCTGGAGGAGACTGAGGATCAATTTGCTCTAATGAACCTTCCCTTGACTATCATCTCCGTTACCTCCTGCCGCATCCCTACGGCAAATATGCAAGACTCTCACGCAGCTAATTTCCAGGGGTTTGCAGTCTGGGGAGGAAGCAGAAAGCACATCCCTCACTGACCCTGAGGAGGGGCAAATCTCTGGTAGCAGTCACAGGTACGTGCTGTACACACTTCCCATCCTTTGAGCCTTCCCAGCTGGAGAGCACCAAGAGAACGCAGTTGGGGAGGCCCCGAAAGATGAAGGGTTGTTGAGCTTGAAGGCAGTGAAAAAGTAAATGGAAGAAAGCTCTCTGCCCTCCACTGCCTAAATGCAGGATATAGATTTAGAAGGATAAAAGGGGTCTGCTCCCTCTCTCGACCAGGGAAAAGTTAACCACTGAAGACAACTTTAGACTCTTATGGGCCTGGAGCTGGAACCAGAGGAATGGACATGAAGGCGCTTTACTAACTCTATTTATCTGCCAGTTACTTACCTTTCTACAAGTTCTCCCCTTAGACACTCAAAGTTCTTTTCCTTTGTCCTGTCGCTTCCCTAAAACTTGGCTTTTCTTTGTTGAAGATGCTATACAAGCTGGAATTCAAAGCTACCACTTTGAGAACTACTCAATTCCTGCGTGTCTCCCAGGCAGATGTGAAATACACATGTTAATAAACTTCCACTGGTTTTTCTCTTGTTAATCTGTCTTTTGTAACAGGAGTCCGTTCCAACCACAAATCTAGGGGGGCTGAGGAAAAACCCCTACAGTGGCACACACTGAAGAAGGCCCCCTCACTTTCCAAGGTTTCCCATCTCAGGTGGAAGGAGGCCTGCTAAGTCATGTGAAAATTATTCAGGAAAAGATCAAAGTGCTTCTACTTCTGCAGTTCTAAAAATATCTTTAAGTGCATGAAAACATGTATAATGCACGACAGGGACGCACGCTGTAAGAGTAGCCCTGGGCTGAGATCAAATGTCAGTCCCCAAATTCCACCACACAAGATGCTTTCCTGCCGCATATCTAGTTCCCAGAGTCTCTTGCTAAAAGAAAAAAGAATCCAGCTGGTAAAATGAGTATCAGGTAGATGGCTCAGATTTCCTGCAGAGGAAACTGGTACATGCGTGTGCCCCATAACGGTGAGGCCTGCTTCCCACCCTTATCCCCCACCCCTGCACCATAGTCTCCCTCACCAGGACTCTGCAGCAGTGGCCAGCCACTCCTCCTGCCTCCGCTCTGGCCCCATAAAGTCCTGTCTCCACTTAACCAGCTTGGCCCTTTAAACATGAATCAGATCAAGCAGCTCCCTTGCTAGGGAACTCCGACGCCTCCTGCTAACATTTGGACTGACATCCAACCCGCGGCCATGGCCTGCAGGGTTCCTGCAGACCTCCATGCGCCTGCCAGACACTGCCCCAGCAGCCGCCACTCATTTCCACCTTAGGGCCTTTGGAGTTGCCTAGACGATCCTCCTCCAGGTCCGCATGGACTTCCGTTCTTCACTGTATTCAGATTTTGGCTGAAGTCTCCTCGCCTCAAAACACGCTTCCCAACAAACCCCTCTAAAATAGCTTCACACCTAGATGAGATTCCTAGGACTGCTCTAACAAATGACCACCAGCTCGGCCTGAAATAACTGGCATTTATTATCTTACACGGCTGGAAGTCAGAAGCCCAGAATGTTTCACTGGGCCAAAGTCAAGGTGTCGGCAGGGCCCCACTCCCTCCAAAGTCTCTAGGGGAGAATCCTTCCTTGCCTTTTCTGGCTGGAAGAGCTGCTTCCCAGGCATTCTTGGGCTCGAGGCCCCTCCCTCTGTCTCCCAAGCCCTCAGCGCAGCATCTTGCTACACTTGTCACTTTGCCGGCCTGTGCTGCAGCTGAATCTCCCCCTGTACCCCCGCCAACACAAAGACACATGTAATTACCCAGATAGCCAGGAGAATTGTAAAAGCAAATACAAATCAAAAAGAATAAAAATAAGTTTTCTTTCTCCCTGGTGAAAAAAGGCAGAGATGCTCCTCACCAACACCCCCTTTTCTCAGCACATTTGCATTAGAAAGCTTGTGATTGTGAATTTTCCTCTGCCCATGTGAGATATATGCAAATCTTTTATTTTATTTTATTTTATTTTATATTTTTATTATTTTTTAGAGGCAGAGTCTTACTCTGTCACCCATACGGGAGTACAGTGATGCTCACTGCAGCCTCAAACTCCTGGGTTCAAGTGGTTCTTCTGCTTCAGCCTCCCGAGTGGCTGGGACTACAAGCATGCACCACCACACCTGCCTAATTTTTTAAAAAATTTTTGTAGACACAAGGTCTCGTTATGTTGCCTAGGATGGTCTCAAACTCCTGGCTTCAAGTGATCCTCCTGCCTTGACCTCCCAAAGTGCTGGGATTATAGGCGTGAGCCACCACACTGGGCAGAGATTACATAAATATTTTTAAAAGCGAAGAAAAAACCATTTGGCAGCTTTACAACTCAGAACTGTTTTTCTCCAAGGACCTGAGAGCTAGCTCTTTGAAATGCAAACATCAATAATCCCAGTACTTTGAGAGGCTGAGATGGGAGGATTGCTTAAAGCCAGGAGGTCAAGACCAGCCTGGGCAACACAGTGAGACTTCGTCTCTACAAAAAATAAAAATAAAAAAAGTAACTAGGCATGGTGGTGCACCCCTATAATCCCAGCTACTCAGGAGACTTAGGTGGGAGGATCGCTTAAGCCCAGGAGTTTGAGGTTACAGAGAGCCATAACTATGTCACTACACTCTAGCCTAAGCAACAGAATATGACCCTGTCTCTGAAATGTATACATACACATATATGTGTATGTGTGTGTGTATGTATATGAAATGTAAACATCAAGGAAGACAGTGTCCCTATCTCCCAGTCTCCATGGGAGGGAGAGGGTTAGTCTCCTAACTTTGGCTCTAAATTGTAATCTTATACTCTATCATAAGATATGAGTTTATTTTTCCTTTGGATAAAGGCAATTAGCAAACACAAGTGGTTATCCCAATTACCAAGTGAATTTAGAATGAACTAAGTGTGACAAATGGCATTGTCCAGTCTGCTCACTGAGGATGAGTCACTTATTTTTGTGTGTGTGTGGTGTTTGTGTGTGTGGTGGGCTGTGTGTGTGTGTGGTGTTTGTGTGTAGTGGGTTGTGTGTGTGGTGGGTTGTGTGTGTGTGGAGTGTGTGTGGTGGGTTGTGTGTGTGTTTGTGTGTGTGTGGTGGGTTGTGAGTGTGGTGTTTGTGTGTGTGATGGATTGTGTGTGGTGTTTGTGTGTGTGGTGGATTGTGTGTGGTGTGTGTGTGTGATGGGTTTGTGTGTGGTGGGTTGTGTGTGTGTGGTGGATTCTGTGTGTTTGTGGTGGGTTTGTGTGTGGTGGGTTGTGTGTGTGATGGGTTGTGTGTGGTGGATTGTGTGTGTGGTGGATTTTGTGTGTGTGTGGTGGGTTGTGTGTGTGGTGGGTTGTGTGTGTGTGGTGTGTGTGTATGGTGGATTGTGTGTGTGGTGGGTTGTGTGTGTGTGATGGATTGCGTGTGTATGGTGGATTGTGTGTGTGTGGTGGATTGTGTGGTGGGTTGTGTGTGTGTGGTGGATTTTGTGTGTGTGTGGTGGGTTGTGTGTGTGTGGTGGATTGTGTGTGTGTGGTGGGTTGTGTGTGTGTGGTGGATTTTGTGTGTGTGTGGTGTGTGTGTATGGTGGGTTGTGTGCGTGGTGGACTGTGTGTGTGTAGTGGATTCTGTGTGTGTGGTGGGTTTGTATGTGGTGGGGTGTGTGTGTGTGGTATGTGTGTATGGTAGATTGTGTGTGTGGTGTGTGTGTGGTGGGTTGTGTGTGTATGGTGGATTGTGTGTGTGTTTGGCGGATTGTGTGTGTGTGGTGGGGTGGATTTTGTGTGTGTGGTGGGTTGTGTGTGTGGTGGATTTTGTGTGTGTGTGGTGTGTGTGTATGGTGGGTTGTGTGCGTGGTGGACTGTGTGTGTGTAGTGGATTTTGTGTGTGTATAGTGGATTCTGTGTGTGTGGTGGGTTTGTGTGTGGTGGGGTGTGTGTGTGTGGTATGTGTGTATGGTGGATTTGTGTGTGTGGTATGTGTGGTGGGTTGTGTGTGTGGTGGGTTTGTGTGTGGTGGGGTGTGTGTGTGGTATGTGTGTATGGTGGATTGTGTGTGTGGTGGGTTGCGTGTGTGTGTGTGGTGGGTGGCTGTATAAAAGAGTGAAGTTTCTTTTTGTCTTTGCCGTCTCTTAGTGGGTTTCCTGTAATGTGCATCTCACTCTGGTTTAATGGTTATTCAAGAATAAAGCCTTTATATCTCTTCTATTCTTGTGGAGAGGTTTTCTGGGTCAACAGGACATTTTGTTTTTAATTGTATTTCCCCACCGTAATATCCACACCTCAAAATTCTTAGCTTAATCACATGTGCAAAGTGCCTTTTGCCATGCAGGGTCATAATTCACAGGTTCCAGAGATTAGGACCTGGATATCTTTGGGGCTCTTTGGGGCCCTTTTTTGAGCCTACGAAGCCCCTTCGCCTACCCCATCACCTTCTAGCCCCTACTCAGCTATATTGTTCATAGCATTCTCACCTACCTGAAATTACTGATTCATTTATTCACTTGGACAGTTTTTGTCTAGTTCCCACCACAATAGAAGCCACACGAAGGCAGGGATTTGGCCTGTATTTTCACCACAATATAGCCAGTCTCTAGAAAGGTGTCTGTCCCATGGTGTATTTTCACCACAATATAGCCAGTCTCTAGAAAGGTGTCTGTCCCATGGTACACATTCAGTAAGTGTTTATGGTTAAAATGAATGAGCAAATCTAAGCGCAATCCCATGGTTAAGCTAATTTGATTAGACCACACTGAATTGCCAATGCATTATACAGCAGGGTGAACCAATTTTTTTTTTTTTTTTTTTTAAGAGACAGCGTCTCACAATGTTACCTGGGCTGGACTTGAACTCCTGGACTCAAGCATTCCTCCAGCCTCAGCCTCCTGAGTAGCTGGGACTACAGGCAAGAGTCCCCCGTACCCGGTATGTATGTGAACCAATTGTTAGCAGTAAATTTCAAACTGTTTTCCCTTGGCTGCTGCTTGGCAAGCAGGTGATGAGAGTCTGGTAGAACCTGCAGTGAGAGGAAATACCACCTTTTCTTAGAGAACGATTTAAATCGGCATATAAGTGAGGCAAAGAACAAAAACTTGGAAGAAAGGTTGTTTATAATTCTCTTCCTTGAAGGATTGCTTATAGCTAGCAGGGCCTTAAATATACGCTTTTTTCAGGAACAGTATTCCAGTTAGGATAACTGGAACGGAGAAACCTTTAGGGCGCCTCTTACGCCAAGGAGGACACGATGTGGTGAGTCACCTGCTGGTGGGAGGAAGGCGCTCCGCTCCTTGCTGACCACTCTTACCACTGTGCCTCTTGGTGATTTGGTCTTGGGGACTGCACACTGCCAGCAACAATCTGCAACAAATCGTCTTGGTGCCTCAGTCAAGACAGGACATGCTCCACTTTAATTAGAAATTTGCTGTGTTACTGTTTTAAGGTCAAATGTCATTTATGATTACAATACTGTGTCTCTTTCTACTCCAAACTGGTATCAGGTTTTATCTTCAACTTCAGTCAGAAGATGAATTTAGAGCCCAGGTGTACCTGTTCTTGGGTTTAACATCTGCTAACATCCAAGCTTCATTTGGAAATGCAAGGAGATTCTGAACAGACTCTGCTAAGTCTGTGATGCGGCAGAAGCAGGCGTGTTGTCAAGTGGTAGTTTCCTGTCGGTGGCATGTGGGGGGGCGGTTTATGAGCCATCTGTGCACATTTGCCAAATCACTGAAATACCACCGCTAACCTCGGCTCACTCCTGCCCAGACCCCTTTCACATGAAACCACTCGGTGACTTGGAGGAATCAGAGTGTAGACCTGGCTTCAACTCTTTACCCTCTCATCTGCTTCCAAGACCGAATCCGGGTCATGGTTCAACTTGATGTCTTCAGAGTTGGCCAGGAAAGTCCCAGATGCCTCCTAACTGGGTTGCCTTCACTTTCTTAAAACAGGAGAAGAGAATATCCTCTTAACGGGATTTAAGAAGGTTTATCTTTGGAAATTATTAGCAATTAAAACAATGTCACATGTTTACTACATAATGTTCTATTAAATTACTACATTCTATAAATAATATACTAAATTAAATTTTAATATACTAAATCTTAGTATATTATTAAATATACTATATTATGTGTAATATGATAATATACAATATATTATTGATATATTCAAAATACATTGAAATTAATATTAAAAAGAACACTTGAAAAACATTTAATTTCACAGCATCTAAACTACCCTAAGTGCCTTCCACTGGCTAAGATTCCACTCATTTTCTATGACCTGAGCTGGTTTACGGTTCTAACAAATAGGCACATGGCATATAAAACCAGTGCAACAAATTGGCATGATTTCTGGTTAGAATGAAATTAGAAGTTCTTTTTACTTTTTAATATTTTTTAAAGGCAGTCAAATTTAGCAGTGGAAGATTGTATACCAACTTTAGTGACACTAATGCGAATCAATCCTGATAACTCAGTACCAGCCAAGAAGTTCTGAGGATGAAACCACAAATCAACACGGGATGATGGAAGTAGGTAAGAAAAATAATTCCACAGCATTGTTACTTGAAAAACTATAGAACCCCCTAAGTTTAAAGAGCAACGGACATGGGTTGTGCTCGGCATCTCCATCTAGTGGTAGTTTTTTTGTTGGTTGTTTTGTTTTTGTTGTTTTTTTTTTTGAGACAGGGTCTCACTTGCCTTGCCCTGGGGTACAGTGGTGCAATCATAGGCTGGGTTGCAGTGGTGCACTCATAGCTCACTGTAGCCTCCAACTCATGGGCTGGGATCCTCCTGCCTCAGCCTCCCAAGTAGCATGCACCACTATGCCCAGCTAAGCTTTTTTTTTTTCAGAGATGGAGGTCTTAACTATGTTGCTGAGACTGGTCTCGAACTCCTGGTTTCAAGTAATACTCCCGCCTTGGCCTCCCAAAGTGCTGGGATTATAGGTGTGAGCCACAAGCCCTGTTTATAGCAGTGTTCATCCATTCATCAGGGCAGAGTCCTTATGACCTAAACACCTCCCATTAGGCCCTAACTCCCAACGCAGTTGCATTGGAAATTAAATTTCCAACACATGAACTTTAGAGGACACAGACCATAGCTGGGTTTGAACATATGAATTTGGGAAGGATATAGTTATGGGCTAAATTATGTCCTCTCCCCAAAAATTGTGTGTGTGCATGTATATATATACATAAATGTAGTAATTTGTCTTTCTAAGTAACTCATAGATTCTAGTTAAACATGGTGGATTAGATACATATGTTTATCCCCACCCACTCCTGTCGCATTTGCCATGGTGGACTCAGCTTGTGCACTAGGCCTCAACAGACCACATCAAAATGGAGTCATTCATGATAAATGTGACATAATCAAACTGAAACTTCAAGGAAGCAGATAGTTCCTAAGACAGACCAGGTTTTGTTTTTCTATTGTAAACAGGAGATTCCAGCACAAGGAGGTCCCCTATACTCTCACCTTTACCCACCTTAGAAAACCCACTGTTCTACTATTTCCCAGTAGGATTTGGGACCAAATAAGTACATTTATGATGATGACAGGGTGACATTGATGCCTAAAGTTTTGAGACGTTGACTAAAGAGGGAAAATCATTAAGTTTAGCCCAAAGCTGCCTCCTTATGTGTTTTAAGTTCGGCCTAAAGGTTTCTCCTCCCTAGTGAACAGTGAGCTAACTGGATGTGTAAACAAACGATAACCTACTCTTGTGCCAAACACCAAGTTTCAGCCAATCAAAGGCAACCAACTGTTCAAACCAGGTTCACATGAGGCAAACTCGAAGCTGCAACCAATCTGGCTGCTTCTGTGCCTCACTTCTGTTTTCTTTCTGTCACTTTCCTTTTTCTGTCCATAAATCTTCTTTGGCCACATGGCAGCTCCAGTCTCTCTGAACCTATTCTTCTGGTTCAGGGGCCACTGGATTCACAAATTGTTCTTTGCTCAGTTAGCTCTGTTAAATTTAATTTATCTAAGGCTTCCCTTCTTTTCTTTTCTTTTTTTTTTCTTTTTTTTTTTTTTTTTGAGATGGGGTTTCGCTTTGCTGCCCAGGCTGAAGTGCAGTGGTGTAATCACAGCTCACTGCAGCCTCAATCTCCCGACCTTAAGTGATCCTCCCACCTCAGCCTCCTGAGTAGCTACAACTACAAGCATGCGCCACCACGCTCAGCTAGTTTTGAAAAAAAAAATTTGTTTTGAGACAGAGTCTCGCTCTGTCGCCCAGGCTGGAGTGCACTGGTGCGGTCTCGGCTCACTGCAACCTCCACCTTGGGTTCAAGCGATTCTCCTGCCTCAGCCTCCTGAGGCACGTGCCACCACACCAGGCTAATTTTTTTTTACTTTTAGTAGAGACAGGGTTTCATCATGTTGGCCAGGCTGGTCTTGAACTCCTGACCTCGTGATCCGCCCGCCTTGGCCTCCCAAAGTGCTGGGATTACAGGTGTGAGCCACCGTGCCCAGCCTGAAAAATTATTTGTAGAGATGGGGTCTCACTATGTCGCCCAGAGTGGTCTCCGGCCTCGGACTCCCACAGTGTTGGGATTGCAGTGCGAGCCATGGTGCCTGGCCGAGTTTTTCTTTTAACTCTCCTAAAACCCCATTAAGACAATAGCAAAGGAATAAAAACATATAAATTCACAAGGAGAAAGATGGTGGGGAAGCAATGGTGGTAACAGACTGAGCAGAGCAGAGTCCCTGCAGTGGGGTGCGGCAGGGGGTAAGAGAATTGAATTGATTGAACCCTGAAAAGGCTCTGAACCAAGAGACACAAGGTGCAGGAGAGACGGATGAAGCTGGGGACACTGGAGAATGCCCCCTCAAATGCTCCACCACTGCAGGAGGCCAGAGTGTACTCTGCAGGAACGGAACAGGTAAGGGCGAAAGGGTCATAGGGGGAGGTAAAGTCAAAGTCTCTGTGCTAAATGGTGGCTCTCAGCCTCCTGACCCCACTTGGCCTCCAGAACACAAACAGCCTGGTGGTGACAAAAGCTCTGAGGATTCTTTTTTGGAAAGACTGTACAGGCCCAGAGAAAGGACATGCAGGTAATACTGACATTTGGGATCATTTAAATAAACAAAAAATCAGCCTCGCTGCATGATCACCCTGCAACACAGCCCACCAATTAACAGGGCCCCACCTTCCTATGAAGCTTTCAATCAGGCTTTTTAGGAATGATTCCAACGTGAGAGACCAAAACCACAGCTGAAATAAGGAGATGAATGGAACTTTAAAAAAGAAATCCTATATTTATACGATGGTATTTTAAAACTAGGAATAAGCTCCTAAAACGGAAAGAGCTAGGCCAGGCGCAGTGGCTCACGCCTGTAATCCCAGCCCTTTGGGAGGCCGAGACGTGTGGATCACCTGAGGTCAGGAGTTCGAGACCAGCCTGGCCAACACAGTGAAACCCCATCTCTACTAAAAATACAAAAATTAGCCAGGCATGGTGGCGCAGGCCTGTAATCCCAGCTACTTGAGAGGCTGAGGCACAAGAATCACTTGAACCCACGAGGCGGAGCTTTCAGTGAGCCAAGATCGCGTCACTGCACTCCAGCCTGGGCACCAGAGAAAGACTCCCTCTCAAAAAAGAAAAAAAAAAGAATTCTAGAAAGAGAAAATGGAGAGAAGGAGATTGTCAATGAAATAACATAAAGACATATCCTCCAGCTAGAGAACATGAAAGTGCTAACTGAGAAACTGTCAATGAAATAACATGGAAATACATCCTGGAGCTAGGGAGCAGGAGAGTGCAAACTGAGGAAGCCCACGGTTGCTGAGATGAGGAACAGCATGGGACAATGTACAGACAGGCCCCTTCCAATCAAAGGGCCAGGAATCAGAACACCTGACTTCCCTCCAGAAGCCCCAGATGCTGGAAGACAGTACAGCTGGCAAAATCCCAAGGGAAGATGATTTTTCAACCTAGAATCTTACCCACGAAGGATACATATATATATATGTATGTATGTATTTTTTTTTCGAGACGGAGTTTCACCCTGTCACCCAGGCTGGAGTGAAGTGTGGCACAATCTCAGCTCACTGCAACATCTGCCTCCCAGGTTCAAGCGAGTCTCCTGCCTCAGCCTCCCAAGTATCTGGGATTACAGGTGTGCGCCACCATGCCTGGCTAATTTTTGTATTTTTAGTAGAGACGGGGTTTCATGATGTTGGCCAGGCTGGTCTTGAACTGCTGAGCTTAAGTGATCCACTCGCCTCAGCCTCCCAAAATGCTGGGATTATAAGCGTGAGCCCCCACACCCAACAAAGGCTATAATTTAAACATAAGGTAGAATAAAGATATTTTCAGACATGCAAACGTGAGCATGTATTCCTTTGATGAAAATAAAAATTAATTTTTATTAAATTAACATACACACATGTTAAAAACAAAAAACAAAAAAACTCGGCCGGGCGCGGTGGCTCACGCCTGTAATCCCAGCACTTTGAGAGGCTGAGGCGGGCGGATCACAAGGTCAGGAGATCGAGACCACATGGCTAACATGGTGAAACCCCGTCTCTACTAAAAGATACAAAAAAATTAGCCAGGCATGGTGGCGGGCGCCTGTAGTCCCAGCTACTCAGGAGGCTGAGGAAGGGGAATGGCGTGAACCCGGGAGGCGGAGCTTGCAGTGAGCTTGCAGTGAGATCGCCCCACGGCACTCCAGCCTGGGTGACGGAGCGAGACTCCGTCTCAAAAACCAAACCAAAACAAACAAAAAAACTCAAGCATTTCAAAAGGAAGTAAAAAATAATTTCAACGATAAGACATTCTGGTAAAGGAAAACCTACAGAAACAGTAAAAAGACCAGTGTTTGCCAGGGTTTTGGGGACAGAGAGGGATGAATAAATAGGTGGAGCACAGAGGATTTTTAGGAGGGTGAAATCATTTCCTATGATACTGTAATGGTGGATACACCTCATTGTGGAATGTGCTACAGGGACCAAACTCTAATGTAAACTGTACTTCAGGTAATAATAATCTATCAATATTGGTTCATCAATTTTAACAAATTTACCAAACTAATGCAAAATGTTAATAATAAGAGAAACTGGGAGGGCAGTGGGGGAACGAGGAACCCTCTGTACTTTGTGCAGTTTATTCGTAAACTTAAAACAGCAGTAAAAAATAAAGTCTATTTTAAAAAGAGAAAAAAAGGACGAAAGTTTCCTCCTCCCTGTAGTCCTCCAGTTAGCCTTGCTAGAGTCTGCTGTTCTTGCAAGTTCCTTGTAAATCTTTCCAGAATTACTCAATGCGATGTGCAAGCATGTGCATACATTCCTATTTTTTACACAAATTGAAACATAGCACATTGCATATGTGGCTTTATATCTTTCTTTCTTTTTTATTTTTTAGAGATGGAGTCTCGCTATGTTGCCCAGACTAGAGTGCAGCAGCTATTCACAGGGGCGGTCATAGCACACAACAGCCTTAACTCCTGGGCTTCAAGCCATCCCCCCGCCTGTCTCCAAAAGTGCTGTAATTACAGGTGTGAGCCACCATGCCCAGCCTAAGCTGATTTTTTTTTTTTTAATCATGGAGAAACGTTTGATAGTCATGAAGTCAAATTCATCAATCTTTTCTCTTATGGCATTGGGTTTTGTATTATACTTCCCCAGTAAGAAGTTATTAAGCAAACAAATGAATAAAATCCTCAAGTTGTCATCTGGTACATTTAATTTCATTCATCTGGAATTTATTATAGTGTAAAAAGTGAGGCAGGAACCAACATTCATCATTTTCCTCCACAAGGCTAGCCGTATATTCCAACACCGTTTATTGGCTAATGCATCTTTTTCCTAAAGATTTGAAATGCCACCTTTATCACATATTAAATTCCCATATGTATTTGGATTTATGTCTGAGGTTTCTATTCTGTTCCATTTTTTTGTCTATTCATTTGCTAATGTCACTGTTTTCATTTTAGATTATTAATGCATTTTAACATCAAATAGGCTATCTGGACATCTAAGAGGTCAACATTATTTTTATCTTCATACTTCTGTTTATTCTTGCTTGTTTATTTTTCCATATACATGTTAGAATCAATTGTCTTTCCTTGTTAAATTTAAATATTAGTTTAGGAATGATTTACATTTTTATTTATTTTATTTTTTCCTTTTCAGACAGAGTTTCACTCTTGTTGCCCAGACCGGAGTGCAATGGCGTGATCTCAGCTGATCGCAATCTCCACCTTCCAGGTTCAAGCAATTCTCCTGTCTCAGCCTCCCAAATAGCTGGGATTACAGGTATGGGCCACCACACCCGGCTAATTTTGTACTTTTAGTAGAGACAGGGTTTCTCCATGTTGGTCAGGCTGGTCTCCAACTTCCCATCTCAGGCGATCCACTTTTCTTGTTAAATGTATATATTAGTTTAGGAATGATTTACATTTTTATGATTTTTTTTTTTTTTTTTTTTTTTTGCCTTTTGAGACAGAGTTTCAGCCTTGTTGCCCAGACTGGAGTGCAATGGCATGATCTCAGCTCACTGCAACCTGCGCCTGCCAGGTTCAAGCAATTCTCCTGTCTCAGCCTCCCAAAGTGCTGGGATTACAGGTATGAGCCACTGCACCTGGCCACATTTTATGATTTGATTCTATCTATTTAGTCAAGGTTTCTTTCATATACCTTAATATTATGTTAAGTTTTTAAATATTCTTTTTGTTGTTGTTAGTTTTTTTAAATAGTCTTTGTATTTTTTTACTAAGTTCATTCCTAAGAACTTAACCTTTTTTTATTATTGTAAATGGGGTTTTAAAAAACTATATTTTCAGCCAGGCACAGTGGCTCACGCCTGCAACCCCAACACTTTGGGAGGCCAGGGAAGGCAGATCATTTGAGCCCAGGAGTTTGAGACCAGCTTGGGCAACATGGTGAAACTTCATCACTGCACAAAATACAAAAAAAAAAAAAAAATTAGTTGGGCGTGGTGGTGCACACCTGTAGTCCCAGCTATCCGGGAGGCTGAGGTGGGAGGATCACCTGAGCCTGGGAGGTTGAGGCTGCAGTGAGCCATGAACACATCTCACTGCATTCCTGCCTGGGCAACAGAGTGAGACCTTGTCTCAAATATATATATATATATATATATATATATATACATATATTTTTTTTCCAAATATATTCATGTTAGAAAACCTACTGATTTTGTATATTAATCCCATTTCCTATCACTTATTATTTTATTGTTTCCAGTAATTTATTCCTGTTAGTTCTCTTGGATTTGGAAGGTACACAGTCCTACCATTTGCAAATAAGGATACTTTTCTCACTATTTTTCTTTTTTTTTTTTTTTGAGACGGAGTCTTGCTCTGTCTCCCAGGCTGGAGTGCAACGGCACGATCTTGGCTCACTGCAAGCTCCGCCCCCTGGGTTCACGCCATTCTCCTGCCTCATCCTCCCAAGTAGCTGGGACTACAGGCACCCGCCACCACGCCCAGCTAATTTTTTGTATTTTTAGTAGAGACGGGGTTTCACCATGTTAGCCAGGATGGTCTCGATCTCCTGACCTCATGATCCACCCGCCTCGGCCTCCCAAAGTGCTGGGATTCCAGGCGTGAGACACCGCGCCCGGCCTTTTTCTCACCATTTTTCAAAAGAAATTTTTAATCATTGATTTTTCATGTCTGCCCAATTACACTGGCTAGTGTTTCTTAAAAAATGTAAAATGATAATAGCAATAGAAGACATCCTTTTCTTGATCCTGAATTTGATGAGAATGTTTATTTTTCATCATTAAGTATGTTATACATACATATAATCATGTTAAGAAGGTACTCATAATCTATCTTATCAAGAGCTTTTATTTTTTAATTAGCAGAGGATATTAAATTTTCTCAAAGGTTTTTTCAGCATCTTTGGCAATTATTACATGGGGTTTTCTCTCCTTGACTGATTAATGTGATATATTAATGGATTTCCTGAATTTCCTCTTTTCTAATTTACATTTTTAGTTTTATTTGTTCTTTCCTTTTCCTTACCATAAGTTTCATTGGTGGTTTTACTAGTTAACAATTAGCTTACTTTCATTTTGTCTTTCATTAGTAAAAAGAAAGGTATTTAATTGTACTTCTCAAAATACAGCTCATGGGTTCTAATATATAGTGTTTTCATTAATTTTCTTTGTTTGTTTGTTTATTTGTTTGAGACAGAGTTTCACTCTGTCCCCCAGGCTGGAGTGCAGTGGTGTGATCTCAGCTCACTGCAACCTCCGCCTTCCAGGTTCAAGTGATTCTTCTGCCTCAGCCTCCCAAGTAGCTGAGATTACAGGTGCCCACCACCATGCCTGGCTACATTATTGTTATTTTTAACAATTCTGCAACATGTTTTATTTCTTGTTTATGATCATGTTTATTTCTTCTTATTGATCCAATAATTATTTGAAAAAAGTATTTTGCTGCTTTTATTGCCAAGTTGTAGGATTTTTTGGTAAATTTTAGTTTTATTATTAATATCTTTTTAAATAATCAAGTTAATGACATATATAACAATCACATGCTGTGATTAAAAGTGGAACCTCAGGATTTCACATCAGAAAATGTCACTTTTCAAAGTCTTTTGAGGACCATCCTGAAAGATGGTAGATGGTAGCCATGGTTTCTGCACACAAGCTGTGGGCTTGCTCCTGGTAACAGACTTAAGTCTCATCATCAAAACATGGAAGCTGCAGCATATGGTCAGTTTCAGAACAATCCATGGGACAGAATTTGCTGTGCATCCCTCTTTATGTTCTGAAATTTACCTTTGGTAAATGAGCAAAAGGAAAGGCATTTTCCAGATTGCAAAAAGAAAGGGGGAAAAATGAAAAACAAAGAACAGGAATGAGCAGTCAGTCTTCTGAAGCGGAGAGTCCCAGGCCTCACCGCCAGTCTCCTGCCCCAGACCTCCCTGGGTGGCACACGCCTGCCTGCATCCAACCCTACAGTTTGCTGCTTTCCCCTGCAGTGCCCCACTTACTGTCTGCTTTCCTGTTGATTACTCCTCTCTTCTCTAAGTAAGACACAGTACGACACACCTCTGTCTTAGTCCATTTGTGTTGCCACAACAGAATACCTGAGACTGGGTAATTTATAATGAGCAGGAGTTTATTTCTCTTGGTTCTGGAGGTTGGGAAGTCCAAGGCTGAAGGTCCAACATCTGGTGAGGGCCTTCTTGCTGCATCACCCCATGGTGTAAGGGCAAAAGGAGGGCAAGACAGAGAGAGAGATTGAACTTGCAGCCTCAAACACTTTTATTTTTTATTTATTTTATTTATTTATTTATTTATTTTTTGAGACAGGGTCTCACTTTGTCACCCAGGCTGGAGTGCAGTGGCATGATCTCAATTCACTACAGCCTCAACCTCCTTGAGGTTCAAGGGATCCTCTTGCCTCAGCCCCCCAAGCAGCTGGGACTACCACTATGCCCAGCTAATTTTTTTTTTTTTTTTGTATTTTTTTTGTAGAGATGGGGTTTTACCATGTTGCCCAGGCTGGCCTTGAACTCCTCGGCTCAAGAGATCTGCCTGCCTCGGCTTCCCAAAGTGCTGGGATTACAGGCATGAGCCACAGCTTTATAATGGAATTAATCCTCTTATAAGCAGGAGCCCTCGTGCTCTAAATACCTCTCATTAGGCCCCACCTCCCAACACTGTTGCACTGGGGATTACGTTTCCAAAACATAGGCTGGGCACACCGGCTCATGCCTGTAATCCCAGCACTTTGGGAGGCCAAGGCAGGCAGATCGCTTGAGACCAGGAGTTTGAGACCAGCCTGGCCAACATGGTGAAACCCCACCTCTACTAAAAATACCAAAATTAGCTGGGTGTGGTGGCGTGTGCCTGTAATCCCAGCTTCTAGAGAGGCTGAAGCAGGAGAATCACTTGAACCTGGGAGACGGAGTTTGCAGTGAGCCGCGATCACGCCACTGCACTTCAGCCTGGGCCACAGAGCGAGACTCTGCCAGAAAATAAAAAGGAGGGAGGGAGGGAGGGAGGAGGGAAGGAGGGAGGGAAGGAAGGAAGGAAGGAAGGAAGGAAGGAAGGAAGGAAGGAAGGAAGGAAGGAAGGAAGGAAGGAAAGGGAAAGGAAGGGAAGGAAGGAAGGAAGGAAAAAAGAGTTTCCAAAACAAGTTTTCTGGGGAGCACATTGAAACCACAGCACCCTCCCTGGCCCTGGCTTCTCCCCGGACCCACCAGCTCTACCTTATTCCTTCTTTCCCTCTGCCCTCCATGTGCTTCTACACTCACTCCACACTGAGACAGTTCTTGCTAAAGTCACCGCTGGCCTCGCTAGGTCCAGTGCTTTCTGGCATCATCTTCCTAAACCTCTGGGCACACACTGCCAGCCGTGCCTCCTCCTCCCAACATCCCCTTCCCCACCTCTGTGACACCACATGCTCCTGACCTGCCACTGAGCTCCTACCGGCTCATCTTCATCCACCCACCCCTCTTACTCCATGTTGGATCCCCTCCCAGTGAGGTCCTAACCTCTTCCCTCCTCACCCTCCTACCGCCAGGGCAAGCTACTTCCTTCTCCAATCCCCAGTCTCATCTCTGCTCTGATCTCGATCTGCATGCAGATAACACAGTTTCCCATCTGTAGCCAGAGCTCCACCAGCCCTGTTCAGTCAACATCTCCACTGGCATGTTCCACAGACACCTCACACTTCTCTCCTCACTGCCCTCCTGAGTCTCTCTCTCCCTGAGGATCAAAACCATGTCTACAGCTGTTCAAGCCAGAAACCTGGGATTCACCCCTCTCTGTTGACCTCGACCCCAACATCTTATCAATCACCAAACCCTGGTGCTTTAGTCCTGAGGTATTTCTGGACTTTGTTTTCCCATCTTCACTGCCTCCAGTTTTGTCCCTGCCACATTCGTCTCTCACCCGGACAATCACAATTATCTCCTGCTGAGATTTATTCCCTTTTATCCACTCTCCACACAGCAGCCAGAGTAAGCTTTCAGAAATGCTATTGGGACCAGGCGCGGTGGCTCACACCTGTAATCTCAGCAGTTTGGAAAGGTAAGGTAGGAGGATCACTTGAGCTCAGAAGTTCAAGACCAGCCTGGGCAACAAAACAAAACCTCCTCTCTCCTGAAAAAAAAAATAATAATAATAAAAACTAGCTGGGTGAGGTGGTCCTGTAGTTCTAGCTACTGGGAGGCTGAGGCAGGAAGATCAATAGAGCCTAGAACATGGAGGCTGCAGTGAGCTCTGATTATGCCATTGCACTCCAGCCTGGGCAACAGAATAAGACTTTGTCTCAAAAAAAGAGAAAAGAAAAGAAGACAAAAGAAAAGCTGTTGCTTTGCTTTCTGATTTTAAAAGTATTAAGGCCAAGCACAGTGGCTCAAGCCTGTAATTTCAGCACTTTGAGAGTCCAAGGTGGGTGGATTGCTGAACCTAGAAGTTTGAGATCAGCCTGGGCAATGTGACAAAATCCTGTCTCTAGAAAAAAATACAAAAATTAGCCTAGGATGATGGCATGCACCTGTGGTCCAAGCTACTTGGGAGGCTGAGGTGGGAGGATCGCTTGAGCACAGGAGGTTGAGGCTGCAGTGAGCCATGATTGAGCCACTGCTCTCCAGCTTGAACGACAGAGCAAGACCCTGTCTCAAAAAATAGTTTTTAAAGTTTTTTTATATTTTAATAGACAAATTATCCACAAGTTATAAAAATTTAAAAGTACAAAGGGAGTACAGTTTTCCTGCCTCTGTTTTCCCCAGCTGGACAGATCCTCTCCTCACAGGCAAACACTGTTATAAGTTTCTTGTTTTTCCCTTCTAGAAATATTCCATGCATTTACAAACACAAAAATTTGTTCATTTTTAGTTTTAGTTTTTACTCACATAATTGGTAACACATGCTCTGCCTGCAATATCCAATATGGTAGCCACCAGCCACAGGTTTAGGAACACTTGCCATGTGGCTGGTGTGACTGAGGTATTTATTGGAATGCTAAAACAAGAGATTGATGCTTCCAATGTTGCTTCATTTCACTTTAGGGTACATATTGAAGATATTTGTGCTCAGTTTTCTGAAATTTATTCTATGCAAGTCTCATGGCTACAGCCATTAAAACTAATTCCGTATTTAAGTGGAAATGCTATGAATCACTGCTGGTTTTATGGAACTGTTGAAAGCAATGAAAGATAATGAATTTAATGATCTTTTCTTTACCAAAGCTCATTGTCAGGGTTGTAGAAGAGTTCTCCTAAGATTTACTGTACTTTTAACTAACTCCAAGATTTTCTTGAGACAGAAGCCATGATTACCAAATATACAACAATAAGTATTATTATTATTTGTTTTGGGGACAAGGTTTTGCTCTGTGGCCAAGTCTGAGAGTGGTGGCTTGAGCCTATAATCCCAACACTTTGGGAGGCTGAGGTGGGAGGGTCATGTAGTGGCATGATCATAGCTCACTGCAACCTTGACTTCCCAGGCTCAAGTGATCGTCCCCCGCCAGCCTCCTGAGTAGCCAGGACTACAGACTTTTGCCACCACACTCAGCTAATTAAACTTTTTTTTTTTTGTAAAGATAGCCTCTCTCTATATTGCCCAGGCTGGTCTTGAACTCCTGGGTTCAGTGATCCACCCACCTTGGACTCCCAAAGTGCTAGGATTACAGGCATGAGTCACTACTCTCAACCCAAATATTCAATAATTAAAAATAAAAAAGTCAGTGTTTTCTCACCAATACCACACTACATATAAATGGGCTAAATTTGAATATCCAAGGAGATGAAACCTCATTTGTGACCTAGCCAGATAAATATAAGCATTTCAAATTAAATATTTTCATAATACTGACAAATAATTACAATCTACATACTTTTGTCACAAGAATCAACATACAGAGGTTTTAATTGTAATATACAGCATTGTGTAAATTGGCAAAATTTCAAGAAAAATGTGAAGAATTCTTAGTTGATATTGATAAATTTAGAATGGCTTTTGAATTTATGCAATATCATTTTTGAATTTATGCTAATGGTACCGAATTGACACAAGTTGGAAAATGTACTTAACTTCAATAGGTGTAGTTTTGCAACTGATATGCTCTTACTTCAAAGTCAAATCACTTCTTCTAAAAAAAACTATTTTTGTCAATGTGGTTGCAAATATTAAAGGACAATGTTTTTTGGTACTCAGTTCAGTTATTGGAAAACTAAGCTTGGAACAACTGGATACGTGAGTCTACTTTTTTAGCTGTCATGACCAGGAAGATCATTAACCATCATTAAATAGTGAAGTCCTGTTGTTGCTCCCCTGGACTGGGACATGTTACCTGGAGCTGAGCTCATGAATATGCCCTAAGTAGTCCTTTCACACATCCACACCTATGAGTGCTCTGCAGTAGGACTGTCCACCTCTTTGGGGTGCACCTCACATACCTACACCCAAAGTGAATTTTGTGTGGCCATTTAAGTATAGCCAGACTGGCTCCTTCCTCACCAACTCCCACCACCCTGCTCCCAACCTACCTCCCCACCTCAACTGCCTCACCTCCCCTGCAACAGACCTGATGCAACTTTCCCCCCAGCCCCCACCAAAGTCAGGATGAGTTTCCCGCTTTGCTCAGCTCAAGTCCTACCTTGTCCTGGAAGATTTCTCTCCTCACCCATCCTCAGGACGTCCCCCAGCATGGGTCTGTGGGGGCCAAAGGAAAACTTCCCCTTTGCCTTCTGAAGGTTTGCTGAAAAATCAACTGATGAAAGGCAGATTAATAGAATAAATTGATTCATTTATATTTTAGAGACAAGGTCTTGCTCTGTCCAGAGAGGCTGAAGTACAGTTTCATGATCAGAGCTCACTGCACCTTTGAACTCCTGGGCTCAAGCAATCCTCCTGCCTCGGCTTTAACAGGAAATATTTATTAACATACATGAGAGAGAACCACAAAGTGATTACCCCAACCCCTCAGTGGGATACAGAAGCTTATCCACCATCTTGAGTTTATACAAATATGGGGGCTCAGATAGTGGCAAGACAGGTTATGGAAGGGAGGGAAGAGGAGGCCTGGTTGGCAAAGGGAGTCTTGTTAGGTAGATGACACCTCACAGGTAGCAGCCCTCAGAAAGAACTGAGGGTAAATGTTTCTTTCAGATCTGTAAAGGTGTCAGCCTCTCAGTTAATCTTTCCTAGAGTTAGACAAGGGAGAGCCTCGGAGAAAGCCTGGCTACATCAATGCAGATTTCCTCTACAGATGCAAATCTCTCCACAAAAAGACAGCTTTTTGGTTATTCTATTTCCAACCATTCTGAACAGCCACCTTGAAATGTGTCAAAGAAGTATTTTTTGGGGTGAAATATTTTGGTTTCCTTCAAGTTCTTGGGCTGGGAAACATCTTTGGGTGCATCTTTTCTCTCTAACCCCATCTAAAGCTTTCAGGGAACACGGATCCCATCTCTTTCTGCTTAAGGGCGGCTGAGTAGCTCACAGCTGGGGAGTGAAGTACCCTAAGTAGTGGTGGGATTTCAGACACCTGGAAGTGGTTAATGGAAGCCGAGTTTCTTTCTGGTGCCCCCAGAGCACACTGTAAAGGAAATTCTCAGCTCTAAGTGGAGAATCCTGGTTAGGGGTGCGTAAGTAGGGGACAAAAGCCTTGTGCTCGGCACTGGACATCAGTTGCTTTTCATGTTTCTTCATTTAATCCTCAAAACAACTCCTTAAGACAGAGTTTCTGATCCCCATCTTACAGATAAAGAAACAGAAGTTCAGAGAGAGCCATGAAGTTACATGAGATCCTCTACTTCAGGTGATCCCTGCGGTGTGGGAACCAGAGGCATGGTGTTGGTGGTTACTGACGTGCAAAGTCTCAGAGCTTCTTCATCCTTGCTCCAGCGTACCCAGGAGTCGAGCCGGTATTTGGACAGTTTTCCTTGAGTTTCTGCTCACCTTATGAATTCCATCATGCCGTTCTGCCACACCCGAAGGCTCCCCCACTCCCCATGAGAATCTATCCCACGGAGAATGGGGCACGAGGAATGGTCAGGAAAGGCAGATGCAGGATACACACTGGACATCTTTGCTGTCGATCAAGGTTGCAGGCGCCAGAGTCCTCCCTAAAGGAGAGACCTTCCTTCTCAGTGTGGCTCAGGGAGTGGGAGGCAGGATCAGGTGTAGGGACCTCGAGGTCTCATTTGGTTTGAGAATGTCTGTATTTAGGGGAAGAAATCCCAGGATGAGTGTCTCAGGGACGCTGGGGAATGGTCCCCCGTAAAGGACCCAAGACAGGGCAGCCCTGCCTGGGTAGGAGTGGGGCACAGAAAGTCCTTGGGGGAGCAGAGCAGCGGAGAAGAGGCCCGGGCCGGCCGAGGCTGCGGAATGCTCAGGCCCGAGCCAGAGGGAGGTGGGACCGAGGGCTGCGCGCCTGGGCGAGCCGCCTGCAGCCGCGGCCAGGGTCAGGGTCATGAGGGCTGGATCGAGGGGAAGGAGGGGGGTGGGATGGGGAGGGAGGGCGCGGGAGGGCATCCCGCCCCAGAGGCCGGTCCCACTGGGGAGGGGAGGAGCCAGAGTTGCTGGAGGGGGTCCAGGAGGTGGGGGTGGGAGGAGGTGGGGGCCGCCCCGCGAGAAGAAGAGCGGGAAGAGGCGGACAGCGAGGCCAAGATTTCAGCTGCGGGACGGTCAGGGGAGACCTCCAGGCGCAGGGAAGGACGTGAGGAGGGGAAGCGGGCTGGGGCGGCAGCCGGGCGGAGGGGCAGCTGCGCAGGCGGAATGAGGAACGCCTTTGCTCTAAGGCGACCACCCTGGCAGCTCTTCACTGAGGGGCCTCGGTTTCCACATCTGTCGCTCTCCGGTCCCAAGACCACCAGGACCGACGGGGCTCTCCGGGAGGGTCAGCCCCTCCGGTGGCCCCAGTCATGCATCAGGGGACGGATCAGAAGGGCTAGGAAGAGGGGTCGTGGGGAAGGCCCCAGAAAAAAGAGGAAGGAGGGAAGATTTTGCCTGAAGCGGGAAAGCCAAGGGCTGGGCGGCGCGAGACCCCCATTCCTAGCGACTGGGGCTGGCTGGTGGCCCGCGGCAGCCCCCGCGCCGGGAGGATTAGGCCTCCCGCCGCTCCCACCCGTCCGGACCCTCCCACGTGTTTAGGTCCTCCCAAAAGTATTCGGCCTCCGGCCCCTGCCCCTTCCCCCGGCTGGCCTGGACCTCGGGGACGTGGGGGGAACCCCGTGGGAGCAGGGGGATTCTGGACGGGGAGGGAGTAGCGGTTGGGGAGAAGGCTGAGCGGGGAAAGGAGAGAGGGGCTCCGGGGACGGCAGGGAGGAGAGTGGGTCGTGCCGGAGACCCAGGGAGAGACACAATGGGCAAGATTAGGGGTGTAGGGTGGGAGTGCGAACTGACTGATTCCTAGCGTGGGCAGGGAACTTTGCTAAAACTGCAGGCCCCAGGGAACAGCGCGGGCAGGGTGGGAGGGAACGGAGAGGGCCAGGCGGACCCTAAGGTCAATTTGGAGAAAGGGCCATTTCCAGGCTCCTTCACCTGTGCCCAGCGTTCTACAGGCCTGGACCCCGCCCCCGCTCCCCACCCTCCCCCCAGAGCAGGGCGCGGGAGGAGGCGGCTCGGGCTGGCTCGGAGAGCTGAGGGGCGCACACCCGCTTCGCAGGGCCAGGGTGACACGGAAGCATGCGACGGCTGCTGATCCCTCTGGCCCTGTGGCTGGGTGCGGTGGGCGTGGGCGTCGCCGAGCTCACGGAAGCCCAGCGCCGGGGCCTGCAGGTGGCCCTGGAGGAATTTCACAAGCACCCGCCCGTGCAGTGGGCCTTCCAGGAGACCAGTGTGGAGAGCGCCGTGGACACGGTGAGTAGCATGGCCCGGGCAGGAGCGGGGAGGGTCGTACCCCAGGAGACCAGCGCATTCCCACGAAGGGGGACAGAAGTGCTTGGGCTCTGAGCCCCAGCCCTTTGGAGAAAAGGCCACTGTCCAGCCTGCTGGAATGTGACTGCGTGAGGGAGGTGCGGATCACACCAGGGCTTGCTCTGCACCCTCAGCTGGCTACCGGCCATCCTCTGCCTGCCTGTCTGTCCGCAGCCCTTCCCAGCTGGAATATTTGTGAGGCTGGAATTTAAGCTGCAGCAGACAAGCTGCCGGAAGAGGGACTGGAAGAAACCCGAGTGCAAAGTCAGGCCCAATGGGGTGAGTGAAGGGGTGTGAGAGCAATGGGCGCATGCTGGGTGTGAGTGCATGGACTTGGGGTTTGGGGTGTGGGGCACATGCCTGGGTGTGCATGCATGAATTGGGAGGTCCATTAAGAAGCCCTGAGGTTAGAGACCCCACTGCGAAGAGCCTCCTTAGAGGTGGAGTGGCTCAGCCTGAGCCCAAGGTTGTGAGAGTGGCTGGTGGGAGCTGGGGCCTGGCAGACAGGAAGATGGTTTGGTTACCCCTGGACTTATCTTCATCAGAGCAGGGCTCACCTCGGTCTGAGTTCCTCTCTCAAGCATCAGGGCCTGGGTGGAAGGAGCCGGCTGTGTGGGTGTGTCTGGTGCCCCCCTAGCCTAGCAGGACTCCAGTCATCAGTCACGGTGGGGGCAAACCTTCCACCGTGGGGGTGATGCCTGGGCTGGGAGTGCAGTGACTGTGTTCTAGTTCCCGCTCTGTGAGCACGGCCTGGGCTCTGTATTACAGGTTCTGCAAAGGCCCCAGTTCCCTCTGTCGGCTCAAGGAGGGCACTGGACTATAGCAATGATTCATCAACCTCAAAATCAAATCTTACAAGAAAATAAATAGAATAGGTGACAGCTGAGCCACTCTGGAGGCGTTGGGTGGGAAGAACCCATCGGAGGAGGATTCTTGCCTTCACACGAGCACAAGCAGACACATCCATGCATACATCACACACCCATCCACCCACACTCCTGCATACAAACCACATACATGCGTGTTTATGCATGTGCCACACAACCCATCTGGGAAGGACTCCTGCCTGCACACACATGAAAGTTCCATAGTTTGAAAACTGCATGGGTCTGACTTCTGACATTCTAGGGTGGCTGTGCCTGAAACCTGCTGGCCTGCATGACCTCTTGCTCCTGGGCTCGAGGGCCTAGTTGGGGATCTGGTCCCATGATGGGCAGCCCTGGCTCCCACCCTCATGATGCCCAGGCCTCCCTCACCCTTTTCCTCTGCTCACCCCATGCTCCCCGCTCCCCCACAGAGGAAACGGAAATGCCTGGCCTGCATCAAACTGGGCTCTGAGGACAAAGTTCTGGGCCGGTTGGTCCACTGCCCCATAGAGACCCAAGTTCTGCGGGTAAGAAGGGGCAAGGGTGCACAGGTGGTGACAGGGCTGGGAAGATGGATGGAAGCTGAGCCTATGGGCTGGTCTCGAGGCTAAAGCTTGGCCAAGCAGGAGGGAGGGCAGTGGGGGCTAGAAAGCGCTGTGCCTGTTTGGACATTCTCCAAGGGATGTGGAGGGGATGTGGAGGATGCTGGCAGCCCTCCACTGGCACTGCCCACCCCTCCTACACTGCCTGAACAGTTTTGGGCACTGGCAGGAGGCTGAGGAGCACCAGGAGACCCAGTGCCTCAGGGTGCAGCGGGCTGGTGAGGACCCCCACAGCTTCTACTTCCCTGGACAGTTCGCCTTCTCCAAGGCCCTGCCCCGCAGCTAAGCCAGCACTGGTAGGCACCAGGGGGCTGAGAGCACCGTCTGGATGAGGCCAGCCCTGGGAATGCTGAGGGGCTGGGCTGGGCTTTGGGAGCCTGGGAGGGGACAGGTCAGAAGCCTGGGAGGAAAGCTGGGACTGGGGCTGAAGCAACCTCCCTCACCCCCAAACCTGTTTCCCCTTTTGTCTAGAGATGCGTGGTGCCTCCAGGACCGCTGCGGGTGGTAACCAGTGGAAGACCCCAGCCCCCAGGGAGAGGAACCCGTTCTATCCCCAGCCATGATAATAAAGCTGCTCTCCCAGCTGCCTCTCAGCTCCTTGTGTTGCACGACTTCCTCCTTAGCGTAGCTCAGAGGCGGCCAGAGAGGGCAGGGGGACAGGACCCTTCCTCTGGGACCCCTTCCTGTGGGCAGGGTGAGCAGAGCCTCCTGTGCTCCAGAGCCAGAGGTGCCCCCATGAAATGCCAGGCAGGGATGCAAATGAAAACAGAAGCATTTAATAGATGTGTGGACAAGAACGGGCAGAGAAGGTGCTGCGGGGAGGGGGTAAGTGCAGGAGCAGTCTGGAGAGGCACATTTGCAAGGCAGGGGAGTCCCACTTCCAGGAGTGCTCTGGGCCACTCAGCCTGCCTACTGTCTCCCAACAGCTGAGACGGGAGGCTGGCCCATCCCTACCTTTCTCGCCTGTAGCCTCAGGAGGAAGTAATTCCTTCCACTAAGTTGCAGGCTGGAGCAGCCCAGAGTGGCAGCAGCTGCGGACACAGGCTCACGGATGTGGGAGCCCTTACACCTGCTCACAGCCCTTCAGTCTGTCCTTGCAGCATGTGGAGGGATGGTGGGGAGGGGCTGCTCTCAGGATAGGGATAAAGCAATAGCCCAGTGTGCAGGGCCAGTGACCAGTGTGAAGCAACTAAGACGAGTGTGGGGGCAGAGAGGGGAACTGGGGGCAGCGAGGCCACCTGCCAGGCTGTCCTGGGCCATAGGCCACGTTCAGAAGACGAAGGAAGAGGTGGGGCCCGCAGAGCTGAGTACCTGCTCCGCCTGGGCCAGGCTGTCGCTGGCCTGGCGGTCCAGGTCCCAGCACTCCTGCAGTGTGTCCTGGAACTGCCGGCAGGCCTCCTCCAGGATGGAGCTGCTCCGGCTGGGCCAGGACTCCCAGTAGCCTGGCTCCACCCAGGGCTGGGCCTCGGTGGCTCTGGGGCCTGGACTGGAGCTGGGACGCAAGGAGCTGTCCAGGTCTCGGCACAGCTGGTAGAACTCACTACCACGCCCAATCACACGCTCACCGTCGATGACTTTCAGGCCAGGCAGCAGCTCCCGGACTGCAGCCCAGTAGGAGGGGTTGGCACAGAGCGGGTTGCTGAGCCGGGCCAAAGGGTCTCGGAGCCGCAGGTACTCCAGGCACGGTAGCCCAGCCAGACACTGCAGCTGGCCCGGGGTGGCCAGTAGGTTGCCTGCGGCATTGAGACTCTGCAAGTTCTCACAGGTGGCCAGTGGCTCCAGGCCCGTCAGCCGATTGTTGGAGACATTGAGCACAGCTAGCTGGCGCAAGGAGGCCAGCGGGCCCAGGTGGGTGAGCGCGTTGCCTGATAGGTCCAGCCACTCCAGGCCCAGGCACTCTCCCAGGCAGCCCAGGTCAGCCAGTCCCAAGCCACGCAGCTTCAGTAGCAGGATGGACTCCAGGGAGAACTCGCCTGTGCGTGACTTCAGCAGCTGGGGTGTGATCTGCAGTCCGCCAGCCTCTCCCGGCTTCTCCGCTGGAGGGTCCATGAGATGGAAGTCGGTTGGGATGGCCTGGGCCCTGGCAGGACTGTCACAGGGTTCCACTGGGGGTCAGCTGGTGCTCGCCCTGGCTCTACCCAGGCCAGTGCCAGGAGGCCTGGTTCCGATGCCCTGCTCGAAGCCAGCCAGTCCCTGAGGAGAGACAGTCAGTCAGCAGGCAGCACTTTCTGTGTCTTACGCAGCAGGTGACGGCAGGGAGTCTGACCCTGCTTTTACCATGAAAACCAACAATCTCAGCCAGGCAAGACCTGAAGACCAAGCTGGGACACAGGCCACAAAAGCCATCTGAGTGACAGGGATGGGGTGCAGGCCCAACCCAAGGGGAGCAGCCCAGACTGGCCCTGGCTGGTTAGGGCCATGCTGGATGGATTCAGGCCCAATATTACCAGTTCTTCCTGTCAAATCCAAACTAGGGGCAAAACATTATTTTACTTTTTCCGTAACCACTCACGATCCATCCCTATTAGTTTTGGGGTGTTTTTTAAACCGTTATTTTTGAATAGGCAATAGGTAACCACCATCACCAGTTTCTTTTGTTTTCTTTCTGGGATAATCAATGTATATGCAATGCAAACGAGAGCACATGTGCCTTGTTTGATTCACTCAGTATTACTGCAATTCTTTCTAACAGCAATGAATTCAAACTTGTTTCCAGATTATATGGGTCAGCTGGTACCTCTGGTTGGAGCTGTAGAGCATAAGAAGTTGGCCTTTAGTCCTGAAGGAGAAAACTGAGGTCAAGGTAGTGAAGGGACAGGGAAGGCTGGGGTAAGTGGCCTGGCTAGGTCGCACACCCTTGCTCTCACTTCACTGCCCGCCAAAGCTAGCTCTTTTGCTCTGGACTCAGCTGGACAGATCAATGGAACAGCACTGATATACGTGCCAGACAGCACGGTGCCAGCTGCAAAGACAACATAAATTTCCCAAAGGGCAGGCTGTCTTGGAGGGAGGGAAGGGTGGCTCCAGAAAGCCGGGAGGGGCACATCAAATTGCCAGGGGCTGCAGGACCAGGTGAGTCCAGGTGCCAGCGCATGACTGTGGCACAAAGCAGGGGTGGCCTGGTGGAGGGACCTCAAGATTTAAGCAGTGAGGAAAATAACAGACCTCTTCCAAGCGCAGCTTTCCCAACCTGGCAGACTTTGGCCAGGCCCAGACCCAGGAGTCTCACCCAGGCCGGCGGGGTGATGCCTGCCCTGCAGATCTGATGCAGGGTGTCGGTGACTGAGTTTACATATCAACACTTTTCATTTTCCCCTCTCCAAGGAAACCAGGCCCAGAGCCTGATCCACTTAGCTCCTCCCACACCATCAACAAAGATATTTACTATGTTCCCAACCAGGGAGCTGGCGAGGATGTAAACGGTCTTGCCATCCTTATGTCCTCTACACCCCATCTGGAAAGGGGAGTCCTTGTGCTTATGGCCCCCATTTCCTTATCTAGCTCCCTTCTAGTCTGCAACATTCCAGCTCATTCTCTTTTATTTATACCTCAAATATTTATATATACTTTCCAAAAGAGACTGGAAGCATCTGCCAAGAAGTGTGGATTCCCTCAGTGGGAATGGAATCTTTTGGGGTTTGTAAACAGGGAGTGATGCAATCAACTTTGCATTTGATTAAAGCTGCTCTGGCCCCTAACGTGGGGGGTGCAGGAGGAGCACCAGGCACTAGAAACCTGTCTGCTGTGAAAACAAAAGATACAGGCCCTAAGGAGGGCAGGAAGCAATGGGGAGGAGGAAAAAGAGCCTAGGACGACTGGGGAATCTTGCTGGGTGACTGTATGCCAGGGGCTCCTTTTTTTCTTTTTTTTTTTTTTTTTTGAGACAGAGTTTCACTCTTGTTGCCCTGGCTGGAGTGCAATGGCACAATGGCGCGATCTCGGCTCACCGCAACCTCCGCCTCCTGGGTTCAAGCGATTCTCCTGCCTCAGCCTCCCAAGTAGCTGGGATTACAGGCACCCGCCACCACCATGCCTGGCTAATTTTTGTATTTTTAGTAGAGACGGGGTTTCATCATGTTGGCCAGGCTGGTCTCAAACTCCTGACCTCAGGTGATGCCCCCTGCCTCGGCCTCCCAAAGTGTTGGGATTACAGGCGTGAGCCACCACACCCGGCCCGGGGCTCCCTTCTCAGACATGTGAAATGCAGGTGGGACAGGTTGGAGACAAGAAGACATCCAGCTACACAGCACTCAGCTTGAGTGAGTGTGGCGTGGGGCTCAGGAGGCAGCTGGAGCTCCAGGCTGGAGGGATCCAGGCACCATCAGCAGGGAGATGGCAGCTGGCATCAAGGAGGGCATGCAGTGCATGGGGCCAACCATGCTGGGGATACAGAGCTCTCTAAGAACTCGCAGGCCTCTCTCCAGGAGCAGGCACCCCTCCCACCCACCCGCTATTTCAGGAGTGAATGTGGAAGATGTCCTATGCACGAGCAGCAGAGGTGGAGGCTGACCTACGAGGCTGAATGAACGAGTCTGTGAAGGATTCTGCCAAGCAGCCAGAGGGAGGAGAACACGGAAGGCTTTTAAGGAGTGAGACCAACACTACTAGGACGCCCCACTGGACTCAGACGAGATGAGGCTGGAGACACAGCCACTGGATGAGCAGTCCTGGGCACAGGTGAGGCCACAGTGGGACTGCAGAGGTTAAGTGAATGCCCTGAGGAACTGGGTCAGTGGCTTTTTAGATGGAGATGATGGCTCAGCAAAGGGAGAGAGCAAAGAAGCAGGCAGACAGAGGCAGGCAACTGTGCATGCTCACACCAGGAACATGGTTTACAGAAGAGGAAACGGAGCAGAAAGACCCCACCGGGACAGAAATCGGCCCTTCCCTGTTGCCCTCCAACACACAGCCCTGCACCAGTGTGGCCCCGTCCTGCCCTCACCAGATGCAGGCCTGGGTCTTGGTGATGGGTCGTGCATAACCCTCATTCTCTTGGGGGTCAGTGACCTCTGCTGTGTTTCTGGTCCATCACCTGCACACTGCAAACAGGTAGCCCAGTAGGACTGAGAACCAGCCGGCGCCCACCTGTGCAGACCCAACTAACCATCAGGCTGCCCGCAGACACAAGGAGGATGGCTTCCCGCACGTCCACCTGCTTCAGCACTCCTCCAGAAGGAGCCGTCCTTGTCCTAACTATGGAAATGAAGGGAACAGAGACCTCCTGGCCCAGCAACAGAGTCTGGAAAGAGGACTGGTGACAAGGATGGCACTTGGGCCCTTTGAGGGAGGCTGACTGAGAACCAGGGAAGATGGTCCCAGGCGTTGGTGAGTGTCTTCTGCCTGGGAAATGAGGCCCACAGGGCAGAGCTAAGTCTAGGGGGAGGAACGCTTCAACCCAGAGCAGCCTCGGGTGGACTGGAGGCTCTAACGCTCTAGAAGAGGGCTTCCCAACCCTGGCATTACTGCCATCTGGGCAGGCTGAGCCTTGGTTGTGGAGGCCGTCCTGCACATTGGAGGGTGCTGAGCAGCATCCCTGGCCTTTGTCCACTAGACACCAACAGAACCACTCCCCTTACCCCACTTGGAACAACTAAAGACACCTCCAGACATTGTCAATGTCCACTGGGGGACAAAACTGCGCCTAGATGAAAGTGAAGGTTCTAGAGCCCAAGCCCCCTGGTTCGGTGCCATCAAGCTCTCTCACCCTCTTCCTTTCATCCTCACCCAATCTTCTCACGTTCTTCTCCCGAGCCTCGCTGCCTCACCATTCTAGGCCTCCCAGTCCTCTCCCAGAACATGAGCCCGCTCGGTGATGCCACACAGCAGAGCCACAATGCCACTTCCAAGAACAGTTCCAACTGCTCAAGGATGGAAGCACAGTCACGCACGCTGCCCAAGGCAACCTGAGGATGCATCACATTCTCGGATCCTCCCCGCCCCGACATGTGAGTCAGGATCCTGCGAGTGAGGTACAGGACACTGCAGGGAGAGATCCAGCAAGCCCTGCCCCTCCTATCCCTGCTCTGGAGCCAGGGGCAGTAGTGAGGCCCCTCCCCCAGACAAATCCGGCCCCCTATCACCTGCGAATGTGTCCCCACCACCCCACTCCCACACCTAGTGCTACAGGTAGTGGAGTGATCTAAGCAATCTGGAGGCCAGACTTTAATGCAAATCATACTACTCCAGTTATTAAATGTTTACAAAACTTTATTTAACAGGTGCAATTATTATACTGCGAAAATGAAAATATTGCATACTAAACAGTACCTAGGGTATGATCTCAATGTAAAAGAGGGAAAAATGTCAAACTATTGATAGAGGCTATCTCTGAATGAAAGTAGTTAATTTTTCCTGCTTCCTTACATTTTCAGTAATATCCAAATGTTATAATGAATTGGTCACAGTGAAACACAGGGCTGACAACCCATCCAGGAGAGGCAAGGGAACAGGCTCCTGGGGCTGCCAGCCAGTGAGAGCAGAGTCTGTCCCCTCACCCCCATGGCCAGTGACATGCTCCAAGTTAGGCCTGGAGCCTTCCCCTGCCTCTTCCGACCTGCATCTCAGCAGCCACCCTACCCAGTGACCAGGAGTCCTTAGGCTACCTGGATGCAAGTCTTGCGGGGGTGACGGGCCACCCCCTTCCTTCTTCTCCCATCCAATCCCACTGGTTCCTGGATCCCAGGCCCTCAGCTCTGCCCTAAAGGAACTCTGAGCAATCCATGATGAGTGTGTGCTACACACATCCTTTCTCTCTTCCAAATAAGGGACTTCCCCTTTAAAAGTGGTCCAGGACAAGCAGGGGCAAGGGTGATGGCAGGCAGGGTGTGCAGCCAGCCGCCTGGAGCCCAGGAAAGCTACTGAGGCTGCTGTCACTGGAGGAAGAAACCCCAACGTTTCCAGTAGTCTGGAAATAGACTATTGGTAAGAACGCCATTTGAGGACTGGCGTCTCAGCTCTCCTAGCTAGCTGGTCAGTCCCTTCAGTCGGTTTCTCCGGCCACTCTGAAACCCCCAAAAAGACTGGTGTGTGGGGGTATGTGTGTACTTCCCTCTGGAAATGGCTATTCTACCCTTGGGGTTTCCTTCTCCCTACAGTGAAAGCCTCAGAAAGTGCTGCAATAGCTTATCCAGGCCCCCAAAGGCTGAGGACATATCCCACCTGCCAGCACATGCCCACTCCACATCCTTGGCCACTTTTTGAGAAAGCAAGCCTCTTAAGGGCATGTGTCCACTTATCCACACAGACAAGGTGTATGCAAGGACCTTCATACCCACTTATGTTTTAACAGAGCATCACATGTACAAAGCCACGTAGTACAAAATTCACAGTCACCTACGAAGAGAGTAAGCCTCTTCTCGGCACATACTGCTAGACGTAAAGGAAGTAATCGGGAGATGGAAAATGACATCTCCCAGAAAAAAAAATATGGCAATCTGTCAAGTGAGAAACTGACCCTTTCCTACCAAATAGGTTTAAGATTCTGGCCATGAGCATGTGGCGCCCAGGATGCAACACCCAGCTCTCTGCTTTGACCTATTACAGGCAGGGGCTCTCTAGGAGTTCACGGGCAGGGTGAGCACCGGCACCTGCCATGTCTGCCATCCCACCCTGAGCGGACTGCAGGGTCTGTATCCCCTTGGCCAGGTCACCACTAGAGCAGATGAGGGGAGGCGGGGTGTAGTTGGGGAACTGCTCCAGGTTGGCCTTCAAGAAGAGGAGATGCTCAATGGCTTCCACCTTGAGAGAAGAGTTTTGCTCTACAAGGGTGGGGCTGTTCAGGGAGGCAAAGATGCTTTCAGAGAAGGCTCCTGTGGGGGGTAAGACAGATAGATGGTGGCCAGGCTTCTCGCTTCTTCTCCCAGTAAGCCAGGGGGTCATCCTGGGCTCCAACGGTCTCATTCTCCCACAGATACTTCTTGACAATGATGCTGGCCCAGTGGCTCTTGGTGGACAGCGAGCCCCCGCTTCTCTCAGAGGCCAGCAGCCCCATGCTCTCCAGCAAGCCCTTCTCCCTCTGGGCCAGCAGGAAGGCCCCAGAGTGGCTGCTGCTCTGCAGAGGCTCCCCCTGGCTTCTCCCCTCCACCCCGGAGCTCTTGGCTACCCTGGTGGGGTCCACGCACAGACCCCTGGGGCTTTGCAGGGGACTTGGGGAGTTCAAAGAGTATTCAGACACTCTAATCTCCTTCACCTTGTACACGAGGACTTGCTTCCAGTGGTCAATGTCGGTCGGCCCCCATGGCAGGATGGCCTCAATCTTCCCCTTGAAGCAAGGGTCCAGCAAGGTGGCCAGCACAAACTCCTCGCGGTAGAAGAGCTTGTTGAGCTGACAGTCGGTGCAGAGCTGCCGGGCCAACCCCTCAGCCAGCTGGATGGCTGCGCCCCTCTCCCCGACACTCTGCTCCTGAAAGTGTGTGTGAACCTGCTCCAGGAAGATGTGCAGGTAGCGCAGCTGGGGCAGCACCTGGCTCAGAGAGGCCTGTGCCGCACTCGCCTCGCGGACCACCATCTGGAAGGGCTACAGGAGCTTGCTGAGGCTGTCTGCCGGGCTCCAGAATGTGGCCGACAAGGCAACACCAGCCTTCCCCAGCTGGTGCCTGCCCTTGTACTCTTGAAGGGGCTGCTGCTGCTCCACCAGCCACTCCAGCAGGTGGTAGGCCGAGACCCAGTGGTCCAAGAGCTCCTCAAAGGGCTGGTGGGCTAGGAGGCTGCGCTGGCGCTGGAGCTGGGTGAGGAGTCCCTGGGCCTCCACAGAGCCTTAGAAATGGCTGCAGGTGGCCCTGGCAGTGCCCAGGATGATCTGGACACTGTGAGGGTGACACAGAAAGTTTCTCACCAGGGAGTCGAGGCAGTGGGCGAAACAAGGGATGGGGGAACAGCCCTCACCCTTGGCCGCCTGCTCCAGGCTGGGGCAGCTGCTCGATACCAGGAAGCCTGCCAGCAGGAAGCTACGGCCCAGCCACAGGCTGGCCTGCTCCAGCATCTGCAGCTGCCAGTCCTCCGCGGCTCCCTCCAGGGGCAGGCCTCGCATCCAGAGCAAGGTTCCCAGCATCAGCCCTTGGAACTCCAACCAAGCTCTATCCAAATGCAAACGAGGGCAGCTGGGGGAAATCACTCAGGAGCCTACATGCTTTGTCTGAGGCACTACCCCTAGAATCTCCAGCTTTCAAAAGTGGCCTGGACAGGGAAGTTGTTTTCCTTTTTAAGAAGGACAGGTAATCATAATATTTCCCATGCTGGAGTGAAATGATTAAGCATGAGGCCAGATGACGGACCCAACCCACAGCCACTACCTTCTGAGGGAGGAAATTCCTCATGGGCAGGCCAGGCTTTACTCACATCTTGTTTCCTCACAGCCCACTCTTGGGACAGGGTGCTGGGAAGTGTCCCAAGCAATGGGTGGCGGAGACAGGCAGAGAGTGTGGCTGGGGGACCGCTGCAGACCTGCGGCTCCCACACTCACCCCACCCAGCTCCAGGCCAGTGCGATGGGACTGATTCGCTCCCTTGGATACCGTACCTCGGTCCCCCGTCTCCCGGGTGCCCACAGCACTAGCTGTGTCACCGATACGTCCGTGCATCTTAGCTTTTATTCCCCTTAATGTTGTTTGTGCTGTTGTCTACTTTAATCTCGGTCCCTCACTCTTTACTCTTCTCAGGTACTGAGCAACCTCAGGGATAAGTCGGCAGAAGCTCCAGGCCTGCATAGCAGGAATACTTCTGGTTGTTTTTCTAACCACGAAGAGCAACTATATGGAGGACCCAGCCTATTGAACTACCTCATGTTTGCCAGAGACTTGGCTTTTCTGCCACAGTGTCCTCCTGAAACCCCCCGACCTTGAAAATGTTTCACGGGAGACTAGGTTTCAACTGGATAGCATCAAGACTTGATCTCTGGCTAGTGGAAGATTGAAAATTAGACTAAGGTGCAGAGACACCAAGGGACACCACGGTTAGGTGAGGGTTTCCTAATCCTAGGGCATGGGACTTGCTTCACACACCAGGTCCGTCCTTCACTGGACTGTGCTAGGCCTACCATCCACAACAGAGGGTATGCGTGTGTATTCGTAAAAGACGTGACTTGGGAACGCTAAATTTTAAGACCAGTGCCCCTGTACCCATCCTGTGCTGTCCAGGGAAGGATATATGAAGCAAGAACTAAAATTCTTAACGTTTCCAAATTCTTGGGTTCAAGGGAGCCCCGTAAGAGAGGGCCTCTTCATGTGGTGTGCACAGCCAGCGTCCTGCCCTGCTGCAGCGCTGATTCAGCATCACGGTAACTAAGGAGAAAAGGGGGCTTCATTTACACGCTATAGGATCACCACAAACCTCCCTTGCTGGGCTAGAATGGGACAAGCACGATAGAACGTGTTCAGGGGTGCACATCTGATCCTGGGTTTGTTTCCCCCTGACGCTGCCCCCTCTAGTTCCTGTATCTGTCTGGACTTTGTAGCAGTTGGTGACTGCTAGGTGGCCTAGTTTGTGTAACTATACTGTGTTGGTCTTTCTCCATGTTTTTTTGGGGTTTTATTGTTTACAAACTTTTTTGTATTGAGAGAAAAATGGCCAAAGCATCTTTACAGAAAGTTCTGAACCAGGCAAAAAGGATGTAAAACATGAGTTTGGGGGACCCCCATATTGAAGTAGGGATTTTGAACTATCCTTTCTTTGTGTTCCCCTTCCTCTATTTCCTATTTTGGACCAGATCTTCTGCCCTAAAAACTTGACTTCTACCGTACCTTCTTCTCCATTCACCTACCCCAAAAGAAAACCTACATACCCACACACGCATATATTGAATTCTCAGGCTGTCTCTGCAACTCTTAAATGATGTATGAGAACAGCCTGAAGAAGTCAGGAACCCTCCATCTCTTGTTCCAAACCTGAGTCAATGTGGTTCACCCCAAACACTTAAGACACTGCTTTATTGGGATGGATCAAACCTACTTAATCTGTAATCTCAAAGAAGGGAGAAGCAACCGGGGGCCTTCCACGTAGAAGTGGGGTCAGGAGACCAGGCAAAGGAATATGAGTATATATCTAAGTCACTTAGGAACTTTTACGCAAGTGCAAGAAACTTTTTTTTTTTTTTTTTGAGACAAGGTCTTGCTCTGTCGCCCAGACTGTAGTGGAGTGGTACAATCTTGGCTCACTGCAGCCTCAACCTCCCAGGCTTAAGCGATCCTCCCACCTCAGCTCCCAAGTAGCTGGAACTACAGGTGTACACCAACACACCTGACTAATTCTTTTAATTTTTTTGTAGAGACAAGGTCTCACTATGTTGCCCAGGCTGGACTCCAACTCCTGGGCTCAAGCAATCTTCCTTCCTTGACCTCCTAAAGTGCTGGGATTACAGGTGTGAGTCACCACGCCCGGCCCGGTGCAAGAACTTATGTCAAAGTGGCTACAAGATTGTTTAAAAGGAGACAGATGAATGTAACCCCATGTTTACTGCTAGAAACCAAAGCTTTATGTGAAATCTTGAATTTAGGGGCAGGGAGGGAGGGTAGAAAGGCTTGTACCTTCCCTGATCCCTGCCCCTCAGTCCTGAACTGCAGGAGACCAGGGCCCCTTGGGCTTTGGTTACTCCATCTCTGGGGTGCATCTATTGGATGGCTGATTTTTCTGTACCAGGTACTTCCTTTCCCATTTTCTAATCACTTTGCAACACACATGCTGACCCTTTTCACTTCCCTTCTCCTTTCCCTGGAAAGATATAATGAATACATAAAGACTTACTGGTACTGAAACTCAAAAAAAAAAAAAGATAAAAAAGATCTGACAATGAGTGATGCTAAACATTACTCACCAGGGTAATGTTTAAAAAGGGTCACCAGAGATGGCAGGGCTGCCTATAACAGGTGACGAGATGGCTAAGAAGGCTCAAGCAAGACTCTGGCCAGAAAGAGGAGCTCCTCCCAGCCAGAAGAACCTCAGAAGGGTTAAGTGGCAACAACTTCAAGTCCATCTCGCAAGAACTTTCAGCCACCAATAAATCCAAGAACTGAAGGCCTACTGCAAGGTGGCGCTTGTGTAGGGGCTAGGTAAAGCTGCAAAGGAAACACAGGCTGCTGTCCTGGGCCCACAACTGCTCTTGGATGTCACACTGGAGGGGACTTAACTCTCACTTCATGATTGAGGAAACTGCAACCCCAGAGTGTGAACATCCAGGCCTCCAGAGGCCATCTGCAGAACGGGGTCACCCTCCAAAGTATTTTTTTTTTTTTTTTTTCAGACTGGGTCTTGCTCTGTCACCCAGGCTGGAGTACAGTGGCATGATCTACCTTGTTGCAACCTCTGCCTCCTGGGCTCAAGTAATCCTCCCAAACTCAGCCTCCCAAGTAGCTGGGACTTCAGATGTGCACCACCACACCCAGCTAATTTTTGTGTTTTCTGTAGAGACGGGATTTCACCATGTTGCCCAAGCTGGTCTTGAACTCCTGGGATCAAGCAATCCCCCTGCCTCAGCCTCCCAAAGTATTGGGATTACAGGTGTGAGCCACTGCACCCAGCACACCCCAAAATCTTCATCTTAAGACCTACCCAGTTACCCCAGGACACCAATCTTGTTCTGTTTCCCAATTAGCTTTGTCTCATCATAAATGCTATACTCTGCAGATACTCTTGATTCACTCAATCATTTAACAGAAATTCATCAAATGTCTACTATGAGCCAGCACTCTGCCTTCAAGATATGAACAGAGGAGAGTAGCTGCCTGGCTGGCACTTGGGGCTCAGGATGAGACGACAACCTAGAAATGGGCTCATCATTAGACCAGGGGGAAAGTGGGGTATGGTGCTATGAGGCGGGGAGGGATCCCTGGGGGGCCCCCGGGCTGACCTACTGAGAAACAGGGTCTATTACACTGAAGAGCTTAGACCCGTCTTGCAAGGTGTTGTTTACCTTAGGCTATTGCTTCACAATCTTCAACCCTCGCAGGCCCGTCAGGTAGATCTGGGATTTTGTGTCATCACTGGTACAACAGTGACACCACCATGTTCTCTTCCACAGAAGTACTTTAGGATGACAGTGCAGCTGGCACTGTTGAGAGCCAACCTTGAATCCAAATGAATCTAAAACGTAAATTTTAAAAAGAAAGTCATTGATAAATTTCAGTACTTTATAACTAAGAAGTTACTTGTGGCCAGGTGTGGTGGCTCACGCCTGTAATCCTAGCACTTTGGGAAGCCAAGGTGGGTGGACTGCTTTGAACTCAGGGGGTTGAGACCAGCTTGGGCAAGATGGCGAAACCTTGTCTTTACAAAAAAAATACAAAAAAATCAGCCAGCTGTGATGGCCTGTGCCTGTGGTCCCAGCTTCTTGGCAGTCTGAGGCAGGAAGATGGCTTGAGCAGGGAAGTGGAGATTGCAGTGAGCCGTGATTGCACCACTGCATTCCAGCCTGAGCAACAGAGCCAGACCCTGTCTCAAAAAAAAGAAGTTACTTGTGACACACATCACCACAGCTGACAACACATTGGAGGCCTACAACCACAACAAGACAAGATTCCAAGGGCTTCTAAGCTGAAGCACGGCCTTTTGGGCTGCACGCCTGCCCATAGTCGATCATGTGGGCAGCAGTCAGGAAAGCGCCCTAGCCAGGCCACATGGGAAGCAGGCACATCCCTGGGAGGCAAAAGGGAAAGCGGGCCAGGCCGGGGTGACGGCAGGGCGGGGTGATGGCACAATGCATGGAGGAGACTGTGGGGAGAGCTGTTCAGGAGGTGGCCCATGCCTAAGCCTCAAGTGGAAGAGGAGGAATGATGGAGAGCGCCTCCACAGTGAGCCTCTTTCCTCATACAGGTCCATGTGGGCTATTTTGGGGCAAATCTTCAGGCAAGTTTCTAGAGAAACTGAAGGAAAACACCAGAGGGGGCTGCCCAGGTAATGCTGACAATACAGGGAGGTGAGAGGATGAGCAGATCTCAAAGGTGACTGAGAGGCAGAGGGGAGAGACAAGGAAAAACCAAAGTAAAGTGAAGTTAGGGAAACCAAGAAAAGACTTTCCAAAAGCAGTGGTCAGCGGGGTCAAAGGTCCCTTCAGTGGGCGGTACAGCAGGAAGTGGGGGAGAAGCAGGAACCGGGAATGCTGGAGGTGGGGATGGGAGGGAAAAGGCTTGGCTCTGTCCCTAAACAGAGAGAAGGTGACCTGGGAAGAGCGGGGAGGCTAACTACACAGGGAAGAGAAGCTTCCTGGAGAAAGGGATCCAGGGCACAGGCGGTGGAAGGGATTGGCCTCAAGAGACCAGGAAGAACTCTCATTTTTCCTGACAGAGAAAGTAGGATGGGTCTGGTAGCAGGCAAGTCCTGGAGTGCTGTGCAGAAGGGAAGTGAGGCAGCTTATGCCTGAGAGCCAGGCATGTTGATTGCTCACGGGGAGCCGTACATCTGTAAAGGCAGCCAGCGGCTGGCTGAGTGATCTGGCTTAGCCTGGGCTGGGAAGCACCTCCGCACACTGGCTCAAGAAATTAGACCTATTCTTCTCGCTGCTCTCACCAAGCCTTTTCCCAAGTGCGTGCCCAGAAGGAAAGCGGCCACTCTTCTACTTCTCTTGTGCCTGCAAGAGAAGTAGAACCCCACCCTGGGCATTCCATGATTATGCCAGGCCTTTCTCACTCCGCCCAGTCCCTCTCCAGCCCCTCTGCTCTCAACTCCAGCACTGCAGGGGGACAGAGTGTCTACTCCACCCCCACCAGGCAGGGGATTTTAAGCACCTGCTGGGCCCTCAAGTCTCATCTTCCTCCACAACATCTGTGAGAAGATTGAAAGGTGGTGAGAGAAAGGGATAGGAGGAGATGAACGTGTGAAAGGAAAAGAGGAGAGCAAGCCATTGCATGTTTTGGGGTTTTGTCCCACACGCAAATTTGACTACTTATAAAGTCTAAGCAAGATGTTTTAAATAATAATCATGCATCATTAGGTTTCATACTGTGCAAAAAAAATGACACAAAGTGAGATCTGTTACAAACGACACGGCAGCACTCTGCTACTTTCTGGAAGCTTAGGGCTAACAATGGAGTCAGAGCATGGCATCCAGAGCCCGTCTCTGAGCACGGCCGTGATCCTGCTCCAGCACACGCCTCGGTTTCCTCGTCTACATTACGGGAATAGTAACAGCACCCGCCTCATGAGATTGTTAGTGTTAAACGAGTTAATTAATACCACAGTATTTCAGGGCAGTTCTCGGCACAGAGGGAGAGATGGGTAAGGGCTGGCTGTTCCGGAAGATTCTGGCCTCTCCCAGTGTGTTTCGGCGCGAGGGCACCGCTGGCCCAGCAGGTGGCCCCCCGGGGCCGGCACGGGCCCCGACAGCCGCCCCCTTCCCTGAACCTCGGCGGCCCAGTCCCCGCTTACCTGAGGGGTGGAGCCGGCAGCCTGCGGAGCCACTGGCCAAGCTGGGAAGTCCGGCGCAACTCCGCACCGCAGAGCCGGCGCCTCCTCGGCAGGTAAGAGCCGCAGCCCCGCCGCCCGCCGCCTGGCGGCCCCTGACCCCTGGGCCGCGTGCCCACCACCCAACTTGTTGGCCAGCGTGCTTCTCCCAGCGCCGCAGGCCTGAGCTCCCGGAACGCGCCCAGGGGGCCTGGCCAAAGGCCGTAGTGGGCGCTCTGGATTCCGGGATGCGCCAGGGGTTACTTCCGGAAGCGCAGCCTGCGGGGGTCTTCGCGCGCACCCCCCGCCTCGCAGTTGGTACGTTCCTCCTACCTGCGGTGCCTGAGTGCGCAGGCGTGGGCAGCGAGGCGGTGCGGCCGGAAGCGAAGGGGCCGTGAGGTCAACAGTCGGTAATCGTTTATCGGTGCGGCCTTAGAGAAAGGACCTCCAAGCCCTTGTTCAATACATGTTGGGTGGTGGTCACAGGTGCCAGTCTCCGGACGGATGGCGGCCTAGATTTCCTCCCGGACTCGGTGGCACCCAAGGCCCCCTGCACGCCGGCGCTGTGCGTGCCAGGCTGACCGCCCGAGTGCGACCCGGACCTCGTCCGCACGTGCAGATGGAAGGGGCCACAAAGACGATAAGGATCCAGGTCTCCCGCGTGGAAGGCTCATCTATCGGTCGGTTCAGGAAATCCACCCAGGGTGTCTCCTGGTGTTATCAGAAAGGGGTCCCGATCCAGGCCCTAAGAGAGGGTTCTTGGATCTCATGCAAGAAAGAATTCAGGGCAAGCCCATAGAGTAAAGTGAAAACAAGTTTATTAAGAAAGCAAAGAAGTAAAAGGATGGCTACTCCATAGGCAGAGCAGCTCCAGGGCTACTGGTTACCCATTTTTTGGTTATTTCTTGATTATATGCTAAACAAGGGTTGAATTATTCATGAGTTTCAGAGAAAGGGGTGGGCAGTTCCCGGAACTGAGGCTTCCTCCCCTTTTTAGACCATATAGAGTATTTCATGATGGTGTCATGGCGTCTGTAAACTGTCATGGTGCTTGCTGGTGGGAGTGTCTTTTAGCATGCTAATGCATTATAATTAGTGCATAATGAGCAGTGAGGACCACCAGAGGTCCCTCCCATTGCCATATTGGTTTTGGTGGCGTTTAGCCAGCTTCTTTACTGCAACCTGTTTTATCAGCAAGGTCTGTATGACCTGTATCTTGTGCCAACCTTCTGTCTCATCCTGTGACTTAGAATGCCTAACCTCCTATGAATGCAGCCTCATTTTACCCAGCCCTTATTCAAGATGGAGTAATTCTGGCTTAAACACCTCTGACACTGGGGCAAATGCCTGCTGCCTGATGACTCCCACAAGTCCTTAACACCTAACCCAGAGAACATCTGGGCCTGCATCCACTCTGGTGCTCTGCCACTCCTGCAGCTACAAATTGTGTGGGAGCCGAAGAAGTCATGTTCCCTGGACGAGCACAAAATGCCTGTTTGTCCCATGTTGGTTCCACATGTGCACCAAAGTGAACAACTTTTGTCTCCCTGGCTACCTTGAACTTCTTTCCACCTCCTCAGTTGGACATATTCAAGGGGCTGGCCCGGGGGCAGGCTTCCCTAGTCTTCCCAGGGGCAACCTCAGCTTTTCCCATATCTTTCAGATGACCCTTCTCCTGCCCCAAGCAAATTAATGCCAAGCCAGTCTAGTTCTCCAGCTTGGGCTACAGCTGGGACCCCTGCCCAAGAATAGTGATTTTTATCTTTACACTTTATCCAAGTTTTTTATTTTTATTTTTATTTTTTTGAGATGGAGTCTCACTCTCTTGCCCAGGCTGGAGTGCAGTGGTGTGATCTCAGCTCACTGCAACCTCCACCTCCTGAGTTCAAGCGATTCTCCTGCCTCAGTCTCCCAAGTAGCTAAGACTACAGGCGTGAACCACCACACCTGGCTAATTTTTGTATTTTTAGTAGAGACGGGGTTTCGCCATATTGGCCAGGGTGGTCTCAAACTCCTGACTTCAAGTGATCTGCCCGCCTTGGCCTCCCAAAGTGCTGGGATTGCAGGTGTGTGCCACCCTGCCCAGCCATATGCAAGTTATTTTTAATTTCAGTTGATCTCCATGCCTCGGAGATGGAAGTATTAGTTTCTCCATTATATGGATCAGAAAATTGAGACTCACACAGCATGTTACAGTAGGAAATGGCACTAAAAGAAAAATTATTCAAACAATTGTTAAGGTGAGAGACTTTATTCAAGAACAGCTGCAATAGGGATTATGCAATAGGGGCAAAAAAATCAGGCTTAACATCAAATACAAGGACAGGTGGAGATTTATAGTTAAGCAACAGGGTGGAAGTCAGCAGATGGAAAATTACTAAGAGGACACATAAAGGTTAGGGAGATTTTTGCTGAACACAAGCCGAGGTGATCAGATACCAAGGGTAGGGGATTTTTGCTGAACTGACTCAGCAGGATTCTTGCTAAAACTGAACTAAGTGAGTTAAGGACCAGCCCAGGGTCAGGGCCTAGTCAAAACGAGGACTGAGAGGAGCCTGACTCAAGTTTAGTCAAAGAGTGAGTTCTTTTCATGAGCTACCAATGATTTGAGTTGTATTGTCAGAGGTGTCCTAACTAGAGTGACACTATCCTAAATAAAGGCTGGGGAAGGCAAGACCTGCTGGGTTGCATTCCCAGGAAGTCAGCACTCTTGATCACAAGATGTTTATTGTTGAGGAAACAAGTTAATGGAAAAAGGCATTCTTGTTTTTGTTTTTGTTTTGGAGATGGAGTCTCACTCTGTTGCCCAGGCTGGAGTGCAATGCCACCATCTCGGCTCACTGCAACCTCTGCCTCCCGGGTTCAAGTGATTCTCCTGCTTCAGCCTTCGAAGTAGCTGGAATTACAGATGTGCGCCACTTTACCTGGCTAATTTTTATATTTTTAGTAGAGACGGGGTTTTGCCATATTGGCCAGCCTGGTCTCAAACTCCTGACTTCAAGTGATCCACCCACCTCAGCCTCCCGAAGTGCTGGGATTACAGGCTTGAGCCATGGCGCCTGGCCTGGAAAAAGGCATTCTTAATTTAAACTATATTTTGCTCTAAAGATAATAGTCCACTCATAAATTCTTTCTGAAATTAATTGCACAAGAGAATAACAATACAGATAGTCTGTCACAAGCCGATCACAAGCCTTTGTAATAAAATACACTATTCTTAGCTCTAATATCCTACACAAACAAGCATTACATTTGAGGTAGGGCGTTCTTCCTCTTGCTTCCTGAGGATACCCTACTCTAATAGATTAGTTTCTAATAAACCATTTAAACTTTACTGTACTTTGCGACTCACCCTAAATTCTTTCCTGTGCAAGATCCAAGAACCTGCCCTTGGGGTCTGGGGTGAAACCCCTTTTCTGGTAAGAGTACTGTTACATGGGATCCACACTATGGGCTCAGAGTTGGTCCCTTTCCAGCGTTAATCCAGAAACACTCTAAAACAAGGAGTTTCTTACTCAAAAGAGGGCAAAAGACCAGTCAGGGATGGATTGGCAGAGGAAGAACGGAAGGAAATGCTGATCTTCCTGTAGGTACAAAACTTGTCACTGCAGCCAAGCCAAGTTTCAGGAGGGTTGACCTAAAATCATCTCGTTTTGCTAGGTGTTTTACAAAGGATAAATAGGACTGGCTCCTGCCCCTAGAGCTTCCAGATACAGCATCCCTGTTTGCCCTGTTTGCAGGGGTGACAGAAAGTGGGAAGTAGCTACATTAGCTGCTAACTCTGTCTCGGGTCAGGGGAGAGGTTGGTAGGGTTAGCCCCAACAGTGTTTTAAAATGCAGAGTAATTGTCAAGACTGGAGTCTGGGCAAACAAACAATAAATAAATAAATACAAAGTAATTGGATGGACAAAGTGCTTTGCCTCCATCTTCCCAAAGTCAAAGGCACCTGAATTTGCCATCCTGCCCTAACTCTTCCTGGACCATTTCATAGCCTTGTGGAATGTCAGAGCTAGACAGACCCTTAAGAAGTTTGTTCTGGGCCAGGCGAGGTGGCTCATGCCTATAATCCCAGCACTTTGGGAGGCCGAGGCAGGCAAATCACCTGAGGTCAGGAGTTCAAGACCAGCCTGAGAAACATGGAGAAACCCCGTTTCTACTAAAAATACAAAATTAGCTAGGCATGGTGGTGCATGCCTGTAATCCCAGCTATTCGGGAGGCCAAGGCAGGAGAATCGCTTGAACCTGAGAGGCGGAGCTTGTGGTGAGCCAAGCTCACGCCATTGGACTCCATCCTGCCTAGGTAACAGAGTGAGACTCTGTCTCAAAAAAAAAAAAAAAAGAAGAAGCAATTTTACAAATGCTGTGCAGTGAATAAATTTCAGAGTCACTCGACTTGGAACCGGGGATTTTCCCAGTAGAGTGTACACTTTAACTCTTAAATTGCCTAAATTGACAAGACTTGCTCAGTAATAGACTGGGTAAAGATTAAATCCAAATTTTTGTCTACAGCCCAGGTATCTTCCTACTTCAGCAGTGTTTTGGGATGTAGAAGAACCTGGGAAACTTGTTTGAAAATGCAGAATACAGGGCCCACACCCATTATGTGGGTCTGGAAGAAGCCCAGAAAATGACTTTTAAAATAAACCCCTAAGGGAGTGAAATGCATGAGAATCACATGGTTTATGTAAGCTTTTGAGAAACACTGATCTAAAGCAAATTTTTGGGCTCACGGGCCCCCAGAAGAATCTTGAAAAACTCTGTATGTTCTTTGTTTTGTTGTTGTTGTTGCCATTGTTGTTGAGATGGAGTCTCACTCTGTCACCCAGGCTGGAGCGCAGTGGTGCGATCTCGGCTCTTCGGGTTCAAGCGATTCTTCTGCCTCAGCCTCCCGAGTAACTGGAACTACAGCTCTGCACCACCACGCCTGGCTAATTTTTGTATTTTTAGTACAGATGGGATTTCACCATATTGGCCAGGCTGGTCTTGAACTCCTGATCTCGTGATCCGCCCACCTTGGCCTCCCAAAGTGCTGGGATTACAGGCGTGAGCCACCGCAACTGGCAACTCTGTATACTTTAAAGTTGGCATCTTTATTAGTTTTCCAGGACTGCAGTAAGAAAATACCACAAACAGGGTAGCCTAAAACAACAGAAATGTATTGTCTCACGGTTCTGGAGGGTAGAAGTCTGAAATCAAGGTGTTGTACTCTCTCTGAAAGCTCTAGGAAAGACTCTGTTCCATGTCTTTGTCTTAGCTTGTGGTGCTCCCAGAAATCCCTCGTGTCTTTTGGCAGAGATCAGACCACTCCATAATGATCTCTGAGCACAGACAAAACAAGAACATTATCCAAACCGCAGGAAACCTCCCCATCCTGGCTGATACAAATGACTAATGCTTTTCACCGTCATAGCTTTAGCCTCACTCTATTCTTCTCGTCTTCTCCATAAGAATTATCTAAAATATACACAATTATAGAATTGCCCCTACTTCCCGACATCATCCCATTGAGAGGAAATCCCCATTTTCTTGCAACCTCCCCCAAATCTACTAAAACAAGCCCTGTCCTATAAAGAGTCCTTTTTAACACCCTCTTGTGAGACATCCCATAGTTCCTTTTGGTTTACTTTCCTCCTCCTTGCAAGGAGCCGATAAACCCAACCCCATTCAACTGCAGATGTGTTCTTGGTGGTCATAGATTTAAAGAGAAAAGTCATAATCCATTTCCTCAGCTACTGGAATGGATTCAACAAAATTCAATATCCATCTGGATAATAACTAGATTGTAGTGAAATAGAAATAGATGCCTATTTTCTTAGCATGATCAGATATATCCACCTCAACCTCAAAGATAGTATAATGCTTAAATGGAAAACATGAAATGTATTCCTGTTGAATTCAAGAATAAGATAATCACATATACTATTACCATCATCATTTAACGTTGTTCTGGTGGTTTAGTCAACACCACTAGTTAAGAGAGAGAAATTAGAGGCTTATTAACTGGAAAATAGGTAAAATTATCATCATTTCAAGTGACTTGATTGCATAAGTGAGAAACACAAAATAATTAACTGACAAAATTTACTACAGCTAATAAAATAATTCAGTAAGGTGTGTGGGTTTAATATTAATAAATGGGAATCAAAAGCCGCCATCTATGCAAACAACCACCAGTTAGAAAATACAAAGGAAGGCTGGGCGCAGTGGCCTACACCTGTAATCCCAGCACTTTGGGAGGCCACCAAGGCAGGCAGGTCACTTGAGTCCATAAGTTCGAGACCAGCCTGGCCAACATGGAGAAACCCTGTCTCTACTAAAAATACAAAAAATTAGCCGGGCATGCTGCACGCCTGTAATCCCAGCTACTTGGGAGGCTGAGACATGAGAATCACTTGAGCCCAGAAGGCAGAGGTTGCAGTGAGCCGAGATCACGCCATTGCACAACAGAAGGAAACTCAATAAATAAATAAATGAAGGAAAGAAGGAAGGAAGGACTCCAGCTGTTTACTAACAATAAAAAAGATTAAACATCAAGGAAAATGCTTAGCAGAAAATGTACAAAATCTATGTGAAAAAAAACCAAAACTTTTAAGCATCACTAAAGACAACAAAAAGAAGACCTAAATAAATGGAAAAGCTTATCATGTTCAGGGGCAGGAGGACTAAATATCTAAAAGATATCGGTTCTCCCTAAAATAGGCTACCAGTTTAACGTAATCCCAGGAAAAATTCCAAGAGGAACTTTTAAGAACCAGATTCTTGGCCAGGCGTGGTGGCTCATGCCTGTAATCCCAGCACTTCGGAAGGCCGAAGTGGGCAGATCACGAGGTCAAGAGATAGAGACCATCCTGGCCAACATGGTGAAACCCCGTCTCTACTAAAAATACAAAAATTAGCTGAGCGTGATGGCACGCATCTGTAGTCCCAGCTGCTCAGGAGGCTGAGGCAGGAGAATCGCTTGAACCTGGGAGGCAGAGGTTGCAGTGAGCTGAGATCGCGCCACTGCACTCCCGCCTGGCAACAGTGAGACTCCGCCTCAAAAAAAAAAAAAAAAAAAAAAATAACCAGATTCTAAAGTTCAGATGGAAAAATAAACAAGAATAGCTAGAAAAATTCAGATAAAGAATAGTAGTGGCTGGGGGTTGGTAGGAACAAGCCCTGACACATATCAACATATATTTAAAGCTACTACAGTCGAAACACTATGTATGTGTGCAATGTATTGACAGCCAGATTAATGAAATGGAATAAAAAGTTTAAACAGGCCCAATGTATTGCTTAAAGAAAGTATGGTACATCCACATGATGGAATATTAGGCATTCATTTTTGTTGTTTGTTTGTTTTTTGAGACAGAGTTTCACTCTTGTTGCCCAGGCTGGAGTGCAATGGCGTGATCTCGGCTCACTGCAACCTCCACCTCCCGGGTTCAGGCAATTATCCTGCCTTAGCCTCCTGAATAGCTGGGATTACAGGCATGTGCCACGATGCCCAGCTAATTTCGTATTTTTAGTAGAGACGGGGTTTCTCCATGTTGGTCAGGCTGGTCTCGAACTCCTGACCTCAGGTGATCCACCCGCCTCGGCCTCCCGAAGTGCTGGGATTACAGGCGTGAGCCACCGCGGCCGGCCTATGCATTCGTTTTTAAATATAAGGAAACTGTGTACTGATATGGACTGACTTTTCAGGATACATCGTTAAGTGAAAAAAAAAAAAGTATAGTGTTGGGAGTGTTTGTGTCTGTGTTTTTATTAAAAAGGGGAGAATACACACATGTATGAATATACATAAGCATGTGTATGTTTACTTCTACATGCTAGAGTCTCTCTGGAAAAGACATACAAGAACTTGTAACAATGACCCAGGGAGGGGAACTGTGTTGTTGAGGGGGCAAAGAGGGTGTTTTCACTGTGAGCTCAGTTTTACCTTTTGAATTTTATTTCATAGGAATGTCCTTCCTATTCAAAAACTGTAATAAAATATGTTGAATGCTAACAACGAATTAGTATATAAAACGTACAATGTATTTTCCTTATAATTTTTTACTTCTTCCATCCTGAGCATGTTTTCTGTATTTTTTGGCTATGTGCATATCCACTTTGGAAGTGCTGTTCAATATTGGGTTGTCTTTTCCTGATTGATTTGTAGGCGTTGCTAGCATCTTCGGCTGCATATCCTCTTCCAGGTATATGGATTGTGAAGATCCTCCCCAGCTGTAGCTTGCTGTTTCCACCTTAATCATGTTTTAGCAGGACAGAAGTTTATCACGATGACGTTCAATTTTAATGAATTTCGATTTTAATGTAGTTCAGTTTGTCAGTCTTTTATAGTCATTGCTTTTTGTGTCCTTTTAGAGAAATCTTTGCCTACTTCATCACTTGTATGTATTTTTAAAATAATAATAAATATTATTTATTATACATAATATATAAAATAAATAATATAAATAAAATATAATAAATAATAAATATTTTCTTATTTAATAATAAAATAATAAAAGTAATTATTAATATTATTTATAAATATTATTTTATTATTTAATAATATTTAATAATATTATTAAAAATAATACTATTTATTATTTATTATTATGTTGAAACTGGGTCTTGCTTTGTCATCCTGGCTGGAGTGCAGTGGTGTGATCACAGTTTACTGCAGCCTCGACCTCCGGGGTTCAAGTGAGCCGCTCGCCTCCGCCTTGTGAGTAGCTGGGACTACAGGTGTGTGCCACTGTGCCTGACTAATTTTTGTTGTTGTTGTTTTTTTTTTTTTTTTGGAGAGATGGGATTTTGCCATGTTGCTCAGGCTGGTCTTGGGCTCAAGGGATCCACCCACCTCAGCCTTCCCAAGTACTGGGATTACAGGCATGAGCCACCAAGCTCAGCCTTAAACATTATTTTTAAATAATAAAATATTTTAAACATCTAGAAAAGCACAAAAATATTGCTTCAGATACCCACAAAAAACACCTCAAAGAGTAACTATATGTTTGCCACATTTGCTTCACACATCTCCCTGTCTTTTTCAGAGAAATAAATAGTGACATACACAAAGCTCCATCGCCCCCACCCTATTTTCTTTCCCTATTTCCTTCTTCTGAGCCAATCAGTACCCTGAGGTAGAGGCGGATCACTCTCTTCTATAAGCCAGTGTTCTTTGGTGCAAACAATAGACCTAACTCTACCTATTAATAGTTTAAGGAAAAATGCATTTTCTAAGGTGTATTAAATAGTTCAAGAATCCTTGGCAGGGCTAAAGGAAGAGCTTCTAGGTTAAATCCAGGAACAAGGCTGACAACTGTTCTACAAAACTGGTCACATAAAGTCACTGATCCCAGATCCCTTCGGCTCCTGCCACAGTGACGGAGCTAACACTGCTGCCACTGACCCTAGGAGACACGTATACAGCCCCAGTGCCACATGAGCAAGCTGCCATCACCCCTACCACCACAGCTTAGCATGAGTGACCTGGGGACTAGACTAGATGCAGAAGCTCACTCGCCCTGGAGGGACCATATGGGTCCAGTACTGTGCTTGCCAGAAGAGCTCCGTCCTGTGCATGGCCTCTGCCTCGAGTTGTTCATTTCTGCCACTAACACTTACCCAGGTGCATCTTCTTCACAGTCCCCAAGTCCCTTGCAAAAACTGGCTCCAAAGATTTCTGGGAAAGGTTGTTTTTAGCTTTCCAGGCTCCAGGCAGGTCTCCAGGTAGCTGCCAAGAAGGCTCAGTGAGCCCTTCCAGTGTCTGTCAAAGTACCCAGTATGTGTGTATCCATAACACACTCTCTCTCCCCCTCTCTCCCTCTTTCTAGCTAATGTAAACCAAAAATAAAATTCTAAGGCCCTCCAACCATCTGAATGCACACCTCCTCTTGGCCAGGGCATTGCAAAGTTAACGTGAAAAAAACTGGTTCAGACCATGATGGGAAGGGAGGGTTGGATATGCCTCACTGTACCCCCCTCCCTTCTTGATTTCAGGAAGAGCTAACCGGAATTAACATCCACACAGACCTTAAGTCTGATAAGAAACATTTACAATCTATTCTGTGAAGCCTGCTACCTGGAGGCTTCATCTGCATGATAAAACCTTGGTCTCCACAATCCCTTATCATCATAACCCAGACATTTCTTTCTATTGATTCCAGGTCTTTGGATAATAACTTGTCCCTTTCAACCGATTGCCAATGAGAAACTTTAAAATCTACCTATGACCTGGAACACCCCCACCCACCCCATTTCAAGTTGTCCCACCTTTCTGAACTGTCACGTGTGTCCGTAGAGAAGACCACCTAAACAGGTTTTGTGTGAGCAGTAAGGCTATTTATTCACTTGGGTGCAAGTGGGCTGAGTCTGAAAAGAGAGTCAGCGAAGGGAGGTAGGAGAGAGGCAGCTTTATAGGACTTGGGTAGGTAGTGGAAAGTTACAGTTAAAGGTGGTTATATATTGTTAGCAGAGGAGGGGGTTACGGGGTGCATGGTGGGGAGATCATAAGATTCATTGTCCAAAAGAAGAATGTCACAAGGTCAATTAATCAGTTGGGGCAGGGCCAGGACAAGTCATAATGGTGGAATGTCATAAGGTTGGTCAATCAGTTAAGGCGGGAGCTGGCTGTTTCACTTCTTTTGTGGTTTTTCAGCTGCTCCAGACTTCTTGGCTCCTGCAGGCCATCTGGACATATATGTGCAGGTCACAGGGGTTACAATGGCTGAGCTTCAGCTCAGAGGCCTGACATTCCTGTCTTTTTATTTATAAAATATAAAGTTATAAGAAAAGATGAAGAAAATATCGGTTTTTTCTGGGGATTATGGGGGTAGGGGCGATGTTTCTCAGGACTGCTTCAACTATGACCAGGGACTGCATGGACACCTTAAAGAAAATTTTATAATGAGTTAGTCTAGTAAGTTTCGGGTCTAAGGTGCATTTCTATGTAGCTAACAAGGTGCCAGTTAGCATATTTTTGAGTTTGGAATTGCCCTAATAAAATAAGTTCTCTAAAAACAGTAATCAGGCATATTAGCTTTAATGTAGGTGGCGATGAGTTTTTAGGCCAGGAAAGGAATAATGTTTTACATACCAAAGCTTTTTGTCCCCATTGTCTGTCATATGAATGGGATTCCCTGTTGTTAAGCCAATGATCTATTATATTACCCTTTTCCCATAGGTGTGAGTGGCGGTCTGAACGGAGAAGTTCAATAGTTTTGATTGCAGAGCCTACGCAGGAGAGATAATAAGTAAAATAATCTTTGTCTCCTGGATTAAGCTAAGGAAGAATGAATTTTCCATGGTCTAAGAACCTCTTGCCCTGAGTTGGAAAAGACTGGTAGAGTGGGTTTTTAGAAGAAGAGTAGGTGGGAGTCATAGAGGAGAAAGAAAAATACTGGCCTTCTGGAGTGGGGGCTGGAATATTAGCAGGTGTGGAGGCATTGGTTATTTCCTTGGCTATTTTGTTGGCGTAGGCATTTTCTTTAGCAATAAGATCCGTTGGTTTCTGGTGTCCTTTACAGTGAATGACCTCAGCCTTGGCCAGCAAGAGAGCAGCCTTAAGAAGGGCCTTTATTAGAGAGGCATTGATAATGGAAGAGCCCTGTGTGGTGAGAAAACCTCTTTCAGTCCAAATGGCAGCATGGTTATGGAGGCTGTGGAAAGCATATTTGGAGTCAGTGTAAATGTTAATGTGCATTCCTTTGGCGAGAGAGAGTGCATGGTTTAAAGCAATCAGTTCCGCTTGTTGGGAAGTAGTGGAGAGAGGAAGTGCAGCAGCCTTGATAATAGAGGTACAGGACACAACAGCATCACCAGCTTTAGCTGGCGAGATTTGGCTGGGTTTAGAGGAACTGCCATCAATAAACTAAGTGTGGTCTGGGTTTGGGATTGGAAAAATAGAAATATGAGGAAAGGGGGAAGATGCTATGTGTATTAGGGAGATACAGTCATGTGGCTCAGGACTTGTGCTGGGTGCTAAGTGAGAAGCTGGGTTGAAATCGGGCCCATGGGCAATAGTTACTGTTGGGGTTTCAATAAAGAGTGAATAGAGCTGGAGGAGTCGAGGGGCAGACAGTAAGTGTGAAAGGTGTGAGGAGGACATTAACGCTTGAAGGTTGTGAGAACTGTAGAGGGTAAGTGGAGCATAGCTTGTGATTGTGAGGGCCTCTAGACGTATTAAAGCAGCAGCTGCCACTGCAAGTAGACATGAGGGCCAGCCTAGAACTGTGAGGTCAAGTTGTTTGGATAGAAAGGCTATAGATTGTGGGCCTGGCTCCTGTGTGAGCACTCCAACAGCACAGCCTTGTATTTCAGCTGTGTGGACGGAAAAAGGTTGAGATGAGTCAAGGAGTGCCAGTGTGGGAGCTGTTTCTAGGGCCTTTTTGAGAGAATGAAAGGAAGAATGGGGAAAGGACTTAGGGTCTATGGGATCAGTTAAATCACCTTTAGTGAGCTTGTAAAGCAGTTTGGTTAGAATGACAAAGTTTGGTACCCAGAGTTGCAAGTATCCAACAATGCCTAAGAAGGAAAGGAGTTGTTGTTTGGTGGTCGGGATAGGGGCCTGGGAGATTAACTGAACACGGTCTGCAGGAAGAGCGCATGTATGTTGATGGAGGACTATGCCGAGATATGTAACACTAGGGGAAGACATTTGAGCCTTGAAGGGGATACTCGGTACCCTTTTGAGTAGAGGTGTTGAAGAAGTAGGATAGTGTTCTGCTGGGAAGATTGGTAAGAGGGGCTGCAAAGAAGAAGTTCATCAACATATTGAATAAGTTGGGAGGCAGACGGGCAGAAAGAAAGTCATGAGAGAGGGCCTGACCAAAGTAGTGTGGGCTGTTCCTGAAACCTTGGGGTAGGACAGTCCAGGTGAGTTGCTGGGACTGGTGGGTGTCAGGGTCAGTTCAGGTAAAGGTGAAAAGAGGTTGGGAGGAGGGATGCAAGGGGATGGTAAAGAAGGCATCTTTGAGGTCGATAACAGAATAATGAGTTGTGGAAGGGGGTACTGAGGAGAGGAGAGTATAGGGGTTTGACACAACAGGATGGTTGGGAAGGACAATTTGATTTATGAGGCAAAGGTCTTGAACTAGCCTGTAGGACTTGCCCGGTTTCTGGATGGGTAGGATAGGGGAGTTGTAAGGAGAATTTGTAGGCTTTAAAAGGCCATGCTGTAACAGGCAAGTGATAATAGGCTTCATCCCTTTAAATCCTGGTGTGGGATGGGATACTGGCATTGAGCAGGGTAAGGGTGATTAGGTTTTAATGGAATGGTAAGGGGTGCATGGTCGGTTGCCAGAGAACAAGTAGAGGTATCCCATACTTGTGGATTAAGGTGGGGAGACACAAAGGGAGGATGTGAAAGAGGCCTTGAATTGGGCAAAAGGACAGCAGTGAGGTGTGGCTGTAGCCCAGGAATAACCAGGGAAGCAGATAATTTGTTAAAATGTCTCAGCCTAATAAGGGAACTGGGCAGGTGGGGATAACTAAAAAAGTGCATAAAAGCATGTTGTCTAAGTTGGCACCAGAGTGGGGGAATTTTAAGAGGTTCAGAAGCTTGGCCGTCAATACCCACAACAGCTATGGGGGCAAGGGAAACAGGCCCTTGAAAAGAAGGTAATGTGGAGTGGGTAGCCTCCATATCAATTAAAAAGGGGACGGACTTACCCTCCACTGTAAAAGTTACCCGAAGCTCGGCGTCCATGATGGTCCAGGGGGCTTTCCCAGGTGATCGGGCAGCATCAGTCTTCAGCCGCAAAGCCGAGATCTGAGAAGCAGTCAGCCAGAGAGCTTTGATCCAGAGCTCCAGGGGCCCTAGAAGTGGCTGTGATATTAGTTGGACAGTCCGATTTCCAGTGGGGTCCCGCACAGGTGGGACACGGCTTAGGAAGAATCCTGGGCTGTGGGCATTTCTTGGTCTAGTGGCCAGTTTTGCGGCACTTGAATCAAGGTCCATGAGGAGGATTTAAAGGAGTAGCTGGAGGCTGTGGTTTGGTTGTTCTGAAGTTTTTGTGTGCTGAAGGCATGGCTGGGGTTTGTCTTACAGCAGGCGCAAGCAGTTGCAGCTCTGAAATGCGTTGCCGCTTGGCTGCCTCTTTATTGTTGAACACCTTGAAGGCGAGGTTGATTAATTCCTGTTGTGGGGTTTGAGGGCCAGATTCCAATTTTTGAAGCTTTTTTCTAATGTCAGGAGCTGACTGGGTGATAAAACACATATTGAGAATAAGATGGCCTTCTGGCCCTCGAGGGTCTAGGGCTGTAAAGCGTCTAAGGGTAGCCACCAAGCGGGCCAAGAACTGGGCTGGGTTTTCATCTTTACCTTGAGTGGCTTCTTTAAGCTTGTCATAACTAACAGCTTTGTATGCTGCCTTTTTTAGCCCTTCAACTAGGCAAGAGACCATGTAATCTCACCTAGCTATACCTGGGAAGCCTGTCTGGTATTCCCTTTGGGGATCATCTCGGGGAACTGCCCTGATGCCTTCTTGGAGGTCTGGCTCACGATGCAAGCAGGTGTCAGTGTGAGAATGGGCTAGGGTATAAACTCTTTCCCGCTCATCTGGGGAGACGGGAGAGGTCAGGATGACATTTAAATCACTCCAGGTTAAATTGTAGGACTGAGTCAAATATTGGAATTCTTGTATATATTTAGTGGGGTCTGATGAGAAAGAGCCCAGATGCTGACTGATTTGGAAAAGGTCTGATAGAGAAAAAGGTACATGAACCCTTACTGTGCCCTCAGCTCCAGCCACCTCTCTAAGAGGAAACTGTTGGGCAGGTGGGAGGAGAGCTAGTCATGGAATGAAACTGTAAGCCAGACTGAGTGTGAGGAGGGGAGGTGATAGAAGAATTATAAGGTGGGGGAGCAGAGGCTGAGGAGGAATTGGGACTTGATTCAGCCTGTCAAGGAGTGGCCTGGGGAGGGGGAGAGAGGTCAGAGGGGTCTGCAGAAAAGGAGGATTCAGAAGACTCTGAGGTTGGGGTAGAGACTGAAGAAGCGGACAGGAGAGAAAGAAGAAGGATTTGGGATGAGCTGCATTGGGAGCAGAGGCTAGGGAGGGAACGAAGTATAAAAAATGCCTGGACGTAAGGCACCTCAGACCATTTGCCCATTTTTCGACAAAATTTATCTAGGTCTTGTGGGATGGAGAAATCGAAAGTGCCGTTTTCTGGCCACTTGGAACCATTGTCGAGCTTGTATTGGGGCCAAGCGGAGTTGCAGAAGAAAATAAGACTCTTAGGTTTTAGGTCAGGTGAGAGTTTAAGAGGTTTTAAGTTTTTAAGAACACAGGCTAAGGCGGAAGAAGGAGGAATGGAGGGTGGAAGGTTGCCCATAGGAAAAAGGTAAGTTCCAAGAAAAGAGGGGGTAGAGACTCGAAGAGAGGGGGGTGGTACTTGCCACCCAGGGGAGGTTGTACTTGCCACCAAGGTGGAGGATCAAAGCAGGTGTCCCCGCAGTGATTAAACACTTCTGGAATGCGGGTGAATAATCAGGCAGGCGTCCCCGCAGTGATTAGACACCAAGGAAAGACTGTCTTCCCGAGTCTGTGACCAGCTCCAGAGTTTGGAGTCCACAGATAAAACGTGTCTTCTCTGTCTCTACCAGAAAGCAAAAGGAAATGAAGGGAAGGGAGAGATTGAAGGGTGACGTGGAAATTGAAAGGAGAAAGAGGTTGAGGGATAGCGACAGAGGTTAGAGAAGAGAATAAAAAGAGGCCACTTACCCAATTTAAAATTGGTGAGGTGTTTTGTTTGGGCTGGTCTGAGGACCTGAGGTTGTAAGTGGATTTTCTCATGGAGCAAAGAGCAGGAGGACAGGCGATTGATCTCTGGAGGGAGGTCCCCCGAACCAAGTCATGGCACCAAATGTCAAGCGCCTCTGTGTGAAGAGACCACCTAACAGGCTTTGTGTGAGCAATAAAGCTTTTTAATCACCTGGGTGCAGGCGGACTGAGTCTGAAAAAGGCGTCGAAGGGAGATGGGGAAGGGGTTGCTTTATAGGAGTTGGGTAGGTAATGAAAAATTACAGTAAAAGGTGGTTATTTATTGTTAGCAGAGGAGGGGGTCACAAGGTACATGGTGGGGAGATCATAAGTCTTATTGTCCAGAAGAAGAATTTCACAAGGTCGACTGATCAGTTAAGGTAGGGCAGGGACAAGTCACAATGGTGGCATGTAATGTTGGTTAATCAGTTAAGGCAGGAACTGGCTGTTTTACTTCTTTTGTGGTTTTTTGGCTGCACCAGACTTCTTGGCTCCTGCAGGCCATCTGGATGTACATGTGCAGGTCACAGAGGTTACAATGGGTGAGCTTCGGCTCAGAGGCCTGACATGAACCAAATCAATGTACATCTTACATGTATTTGATTGATATTTCCTATCTCCCTAAAATGTATAAAACTAGGCTGTGCCCCACCCACATGATCTCAGGGTCTCCTGACGACTGTGTCATGGGCCATGGTCACTCATACTTGGCTCAGAATAAATCTTTTCAAATGTTTTACAGAGTTGGACTATCCAGTGACAATAATAAGGGTTAGAAATACACATATATGAAACCATAATCTATATATCCTTTTATAACTGCTTTTTTAAAAAGCTAAGCATTATACTTTTTAGTTTTCACTGTTGGCATATGTAGTTCCAGTTCATCATTTTAATTATCTTATAGTATAATACTCCCTTGTATGAATAAACCACTGTTCGTTATCCATCTCCCTATGAAGGAACCATTAAATTGTTTTCATTTGTTTTTGCTACACAAATATCATTGTCTATGTCTCATCACACATATGTACAAGAAGTTTTCTAGGATAGACACCTAGAAGTGAAGCTGCTTGTCTTTGGGTCTGAGGTGTTCACCTTGGCGAGGTATTGCTAAATTGTTTCTCCAAACCGGGTCTCGCTGTGTTGTCCAAGCTGGCCTCAAACTCCTGGGCTTAAGTGATCCTCCCACTTTAGCCTCCCAAAGTGTTGGGATTACAGGCATGAGCCACCATACCCGGCCCACAGTTGTTTATGTGGAGCAAATGGGGCCAAGAAACTGGCTGTGTGTGAGTGGCTTTGTCTTTACAGCCAAAACAAATCACAGATTCCCACCTGTCAGATTTGGCATTTTTCCTTCTGTAGCATATCACATAAACTACCTGTTGGATAGGATTTTAGGAGCAGGCACCGAGCCCAGCTGCTTCCTTCTGTCTACTTCAGCTTCCCGCGCCAGGAGTTCTTGCTTTACTTAGAGGGACATCTAATCTTAGGCATGTGGAGCAAATATGGACCACCACACAGCTCACAGGAATTTTTATTAAAGGGGACTCTTCTGATTTAGCTGGCATACATGAGATAGTAAAATGTAACCACTTGCCAGGATGGAATTGGAGGGGTTTGGTGTGAACATGGAAAAGGCCATTTGCTAAAAATGGGTACCTGCAATGAATGTTCAAAAACAATCAAGTTTATTATTAAAAAGATAAGAAAATATCGTATTACATGTGGTGTGCTTTGAATTCTGCAAGTCATTCTGTTGCATGTTGTGGTTGAGGAAGTGATGAGAATGGTAAATTTCCTTCAGGTATTTGTCCTTAACCGTATGTTAATGGAATAGTTAAAGGGGAGTGAACCAGGTGGAAAGATTTAAGACCAAGCCATCAAAGTGAATTGAAGACATTAAGAGAGTCTTGAGAGGCCCAAATGATGGACCCCACAGGAGCTCACAGAATTATCCTTTCTGATGGCCGTGCCCAGTCATCTGAACATGCAGAGAGAATGAGCTCCTTGCCACTGACTGTTTTCAAGGAGGTGCAGAGACTCAGCTTACACCGGTTATGTGGACTGAGCACCTGGGAACTCCACTCTTCCCCAATATTGCATTACCCAGAGCTCAGAACACACTCAGAGATGTCAAAGAGATGCAGTGCTCTTGAGTGGAAACTGAATTAGAACTTCGGAAGGGATTTGCAAACTTTTTGAATATAAATCCTGCAAGAGCAAACAAGCAGCACATGCAGACGACCAGCAATGAGAGGGCGTGGTGACTCTGAGGACCTGACTTGGTTAGGGTGACGAGAGCGGGGGAGTGTGGAGAGAGGAGGTCAGGCAGCCTTTGCACAGTGTAGACAGTGAGAGCCACGTGGCCAGTTTTGTGTTTTAGGGAGACTTTGTGGGCAGACACCTATGGCACACAGAGTCTTGAAGATGACCCCATGTGAGGTGACAGGTGCCTCCGAGGAGGGCGTAGGGTGAGAATGGTAGGAGTGGGTGGAAGGGAGTTCTGTCATTTGCGAGGTTCTTAAAATTATGTAAGGAGATATGTATAGTCAAAACCACCCATGAAAATCCTTCAGGAAGGGCCCGTTTATGCAGCTCTGAGTCAGTGGGAGAAAATGGATTTTCCCTCAGTGTGGAGTAACTTTCTTCTGCACCAGCTGGGGTGGTTGACTTACATTTAGGAGTACAGTATGGTGTGTGGAAGCACACATTGTTTGTTAGGTTGCCCTCAGTCCAGCACTTTGCTCCCAGTCCCAGTATGTTGAAGCTGAGACCGCCTGAGAACAATCAAACTCCCAGAGCCAGTACTCATTAAGGAGCCCGGGCAGACATTGTATTGAGCAATCAGGCTTCCAGAGCCAGTACTCGTTAAGGAGCCCGGGCAGACATTGTATCACTCATGGAGTTATTTCGCCTGCTCTCATATTTGGCCTCATTGTTCTGGCTTGTACCCTCACTAGCTTTTGTATGCTGTTGTGTTTTTGGAGCATGTACAGTTGGTTGGGGTAAGTTACATATAGTTAGCAGAGATATACAGGAGGTAGAATTGATGGGTCTTAGTGATGAGAATTGGTAGCAGTTAAGAGAGAAATCTAGGATGACTCAGATTTTGAGATGGGGCAGTGCATGGATGATAATGTGATTGGTTAAGATGGGAAACATGAGAAGAAACTCACTTGAGGGAGGGAGGGAGGAGGAAGAAGGAGAGTTTGGTTTTGTACATGCTGAGGTCGAAGGGTCTGACTGGGCTACACAGGTAAAGAAGCCGAGGAGCAGCCAGCTCCAAGCAGCAGGTGTTGATGTAGGAGTCAGTAGCATTCACGTGTTGATAGTTGATGGAAAATTAACTCTGATTACTAAAAATAAAACGTACCATCCTTGGTATTTTAGAGATGAACCTACGAATACATGATTATCTTGAAATCTCTAGGTAAAGTTAGTGCTCTGTGAAATCATTTTCCTCATGAACCTGGTGAAATAAAAAAATGCTAGCCATAGCAGTGCCCTACATCTGAATCACAATTGCGTTATGTCCTAGTTTCCTTCCTGAATTCTTGAGAATGGTTAGACCTGCCTTGTGCACTTCACTAACCAGTGTAGACCTAGCCAGTGTAGACCTAGCCAGTGTAGAGGTCAGCTTTCTTGGATTTGCTAAGTCACCTCCTGCACGTACTTTCCAGCTTCCAGTATATTGTCGCCTCCTCTCCTATTCTCGCTTCCTTGAGGATTTGTATTTTTAAAAATGTTTCTTTACTGTAGTTTTAGAGGGGCATGGAGGTGGAGTAATATTAGATACATGTGTTCAATTTTCTATCTTTATCCAGAAATATGGGTTGGTTTTATGATAGTCATTATTCACTTTTAAATCAATACCAGGTGATAATTTTACCATTGTTATGAATAAAAATGTTTGTGTAGCTTGCATTCATTGATGCTTTGATCATATGCTTCTATATTTAAAAAACCAGATTATTCTCTTTCTCTTCTTCTCACTGCTGCACTTGACTAGTCTTAAAGAGAGAAAAAACCCCAGAATAACTGGACATCTCCAATTTAGATCTTGTTATAAATAATAGTTTGAGAATAATACATTTGTCTCCTAAAGGAATAATTATAACATCAATAGTGGTGGATAGAGATGAAATGGGAGGTTGAGGAAGACGGAGGGTTTGTGATTGTGGTCCTCAGAACCCATAAGGATGTGGCCTGAATAACATCGATTTTGATTCAAGAACCAGGAGAACATCATTATATTGTAAATGTTCCTTTAAATGGAAATACATAGATTTTAATTCTTCAAAGACAGTGAAATGTTTTTGGCAGCAAGTAATAGAAGTATAAAAGCAGTAGTTTAAAAAAGTTAAGGCTTTATTTTTCTTAAATAAATTTGCAGTAGAGTCCAGTGCTGATATGGCAGCTCTCTGGTGTGGCTAACAATCTCTCTACTCTAGTGTCTTGAATATATGGCTTTCATTCTAAGGATGCCTCATGATCACAAGTTGATTACTGCACCTCCAGCTATCACCTCTGTGTTCCAGGAAGGAGGAGGGTGTTAAGGGCAGGAGGCAAGTCTACGACTTGAGTCTACCTCAGCTTTGTAAGGAGCTTTCCTGGCAACCATTCTCCAGCTTTTGTGTCTTACTGGCCTGAACTTACTTAGTCATCCCTGTCCACAAGGAAGTCTGGGAAATGCTTTTTTCTGGGCCTGTTGCCATTTCCCATCATAGATCAGTGGTCTGTCAGTCACAAACTTGCAGTGTTGGTAAGAGCAACTCAATGCCTGTCATAGTGGTGTCACTCAAAGGCATGAAGACAGTAGCAAGGGAGAGATTCAGCTGCTTTCACAACTCTGGCTGGATTTTACCTATGTGGAGAGTGTCACCCATGTTAGGGAGCCTCTGGCCAGGAGGAAGCTGTGGCAAGATGTGCTGCGTCTCCTGCTTGGCATTGCCATCTTGCTGCCGTAAGTCTGTCTGTGGATAAAATACATTAGGAAATTGGGAAGTTAGATGAGGAGTTTGTGTGATCTTGCCCCACAGCCATAACTCGGAGTTTAACACTTCACATAGAGATCATTTCCCCCTTCACTACAGTAGAATTGTAAGTGTGGTATAGAAAATTTGGAAGATATCTGTGGGATTTTTATAGTCTTATCACATTAACATAGGTACTGTTGACATTTAGTATATTTTCATTTAATCTTTTTACCCATTTTTAAAATGATTTTACACCCAATATTATACTCCTCATTTCCTTACAGTTTTCATAACCCTTATTTTAACAGCTATATGATAATCTGTCTAGTAGGTATTTCCTGCTTAGCAGTTCCACTATTTTTAGTCATTTTCTTGGTTTTATAAGAAATAATGTAATCTTTGTGCATACAGTTTTTCCTGTATTTCGAGTCTTTTTTACTTAAAAAGAACTAGCAGTGTTTGATTATGGAGTTCAGCAGTGTTAGTAATTTTATTAGTCTCTGCACAGTGTGCCATTTCAGACTGCCGTCAGCACCGCGCAAGAGGCTTGCTTTCTTTGTACTCTTGTCAGCATTAATATTATTTTTGATCATTTAATGGATTAAAATTTGCCATATGCTTTACATTTGCATTTTTGATAACTTTGACCTTATACGTTTTTCCACATTAGTTAGTTGTATTTCCTCTTTTGCGAGCTGTCTGTTCATGCCCTGTGCTCTTTTACGTATCGTTGTTTTATTGCTTTTCTTGTTGCTGTGATTTCTATGAACTTTGTTTTTACTTAACTTTTTTTTATTCTAAAATACACATAACAGAATTTATCATTTGAACCATTTTTGAATGTACAGCTTGGTGGCATTAGGCACATTCACAAACCATTGCCACCGTCTGTCTCCAGAAGCCTTTTCATCTTCCCAAACTAAAACTCTGTCCCCATTGAACACGAATTCTCTTTACTCCTTTACCTGCCCCTGGAATGCCCATTTTACTTTCTGTCTCTATACATTTGATGACTCTAGGGCCCTCATATAAATGGAATCATATAGTATTTGTCCTTTTGTGACCAGCTTACTTCACTTAGCGTCTTCATGCTTCATCCATGTTGAAGCATGTGCCAGGATTCCTTTCTTTTTAAGGCTGAATAATATTCCATTGTACATAGATACCACATTCTGCTTATTCTCTGGAAGCTTTCATATAATTAAGATAGAAAGCTTCTTTTGTTGTTATATTTGCAGCAGGTTAGTTTTACTCAGTTAATTTTTTGCCTTTCTCTTTTGGTTATTTCATTTGGACATCCATAACTTTAAATTTGTATGTTGGTAAAACCCATTTTCCTTTGATGTTTGTATTTAATCTTCATCCATCTGGGATTTATTTGGATCATCATTTCACACTGAACTTAGACCCAGAGAGAATGCAGGGAGCCAGGGTTAATCTGATTCTTGTTGGTGATGTCTTCCTACAGGTCTGTTTTTGCTTCAGGTTAAATAGGCATCTCTTTGCTGGGAGGCAAGAAACCTTCCCCAGCTGTACTCAGAAATCTTCATACCTTCTTAACCTTTCTCTCCTGATACTTCCCCACCTCTACTCAGTTTAAATATTTTGTTTATTTCACTTATAATTATGCTTGGGTTCCTATTCAAGATGACAAACATAGGTTTCTTCAGTTAATATGTTATTTCTTCTGGAATGAGATACAATATTGGCTATTATGGCTGTTTATTGAGTACTTCTATGTGCCCAGCCCCATTCTAAGTGTTTATAAGTATTAACTCATTTTTAATGCCACCAACAACCCTCTGAGATAGGTGATGTTATTAGGCCCGCTTTTCAGATCGATAGGAGGTAGCTTAAGAGAGAGATTGTACACACTACTATTGGAATCTGCATCTCTTACTCACGTGCTTTAAATGAAGGAAATCTAAAGTAGTAATCGCTAACATTTATACTTCTAACTGTGTTCTGGGCACTTCACTGCTATTAGCAGATTTAATCTCCTCAGCCCGAGTAGGCGCATTGAAATAAATACCATGTTGTGGAGTGCTTTTTAGGTTCCCTATTTGCAGCCTGTGTTTGAGTATGACTTCATTATTCTCCCTTCCACATTTTGAGATGGCTTCCTCTCTCCCATCCAGGAATTGATGGATTCTAATTACAGTGACTAAAACTTACTTGGGGCAGTGTGTTTGAACTTTTCACCAGCTGCTGTGCCAGAGTTTAAAGTGCCAGGCTAGTTGGTAGGTAGATTTGCTTGCTTGTTGTTTGAAGAAGTGATGCACACACAGTGCAGAACTGAAAAGGTGCTGGAAGATTTCTAGAGAGCGTGCCCCCCTCGCCTCTTTCCTGCCTAGAGGAAGCCGCCCTTACCCGTTCTTAGCCAGCTGATTGTTCATGTTCCAGGGGTGATTGTGTGTAGGCATATGGGTTAGCACACACTTGTTTTTGTTCTTTCTTTTTTTGTTGTTGTTTTTTTTGAGATGGAGTCTTGCTCTGTAGCCCAGGCTGGAGTGCAGTGGCACGATCTCAGCTCACCGCAACCTCCGCCTCCCGGGTTCAAGCAATTCCCCTGCCTCAAGCCTCCTGAGTAGCTAGGACTACAGGTATGTGCCACCAAGCCTGGCTAATTTTTGTATTTTTAGTAGAGACGGGGTTTCACTATGTTGGTCAGGCTGGTCTCAAACTCCTGAGCTCATGATCCGCCCACCTCAGCCTCCTAAAGTGTTGGCATTATAGGTGTGAGCCATTGCGCCCGGCTAGCACACAGTTTTATTTTACACAAATGGTAACACAATATGCATACTGTTGCACACCTTGGATTTTTGAATTAAACTTTTTTTTTTGGTTTAAATTGTAAAAAAAAACCCTAATACTATTTGTGCCCTATTAGCCATTTTTAACTGTACAATTCTGTAATGTTAACTATATTCACACTGTTGTGTAAGAGATTCTAGAACTTTTCCATCTTGCAAAACTGAAACTCCGTACTCATTGAACGAGTCCCCATTATTTCCCCTCTCCCCCGACCTTGTTTTTTGTTTTTGAGATGGAGTTAACTCTTGTTGCCCAGGCTGGAGTACAGTGGCACCACCTCAGCTCACTGCAACCTCTGCCTCCCGGGTTTAAGCAATTCTGCTGCCTCAGCCACCCGACTGGCTGGGATTACAGGCGTGCACCACCACGCCCAGCTAATTTTTGTATTTTTAGCAGAGATGGGGTTTCCCCATGTTGGCCAGGCTGGTCTTGAACTCCTGACCTCAGGTGATCCACCTGCCCCTGCCTCCCAATGTGCTGGGATTACAGGTGTGAGCCACACCACCCAGCCTGTTTTTTGTTTTTTTTTTTTTTTTTTTTTTTTTTTTTTGAGAGGGGGTCTCTATGTTGTCCAAGCTGGAGTGCAGTGGCTATTCACAGGTGCAGTCATACAGCCACTACAGACAGCCTCGACCTCCTGGGCTGGAGTGATCCTCCTGCCTCAGCCTCCTGAGTAGCTGGGACTACAGGCACACACCCGGCTACCACACCTTGTTTTTTAAAAATAGTTTTTGGCCTGGCATGGTGGCTCACGCCTTGTAATCCCAGCCTTTGGGAGGCCGAAGTGGTGGATCACTTGAGGTCAGGAGCTCGAGACCAGCCTGGCCAACATCGTGAAACCCTGTCTCTACTAAAAATACAAAACTTAACTGAGCGTGACGGCATGTGCCTGTAATCCCAGCTACTCTGGAGGCAGAGGCAGGAGAATTGCTTGAATTCTGGGAGGTGGAGTCTCCCAGAGATCCGAGATTGGGCTACTGCACTTGAGCCTGGTTGACAGAGTGAGACTCTGTCTCAAAAAAAAAAAAAAAAAAAAAAAAGTTTTCATTACAAATTGTTGAAGCAGAAGGATATTTAAGAATGTATACGGAATGGAGACACCTTTCTCTTTTTCACTTAACAATTCATCATAGAGATTGTTTCTTCATAGAGTTCATTTTTTTAAATTGTTCCAAAGTGTTTAGTGATGGGTATTTAGGTTGTTTCTGATCTTCTGATACAGACAATGTTGACTTTTTACCTTTCCAAGCTACTTTGTTTTAGTTGGGTCTCTTAACCTCAGAATGTAATTTGATTTTGTTTTTGTTTTTAACTGAGAGACTTTTAGTAGTTGAATTTCCCATTTGTATTTGCTGATAATTTTAGTAATAGCAACTCACTTCCATTGAACACATCTGTGTATCCAGTACTGCTCTAAGCACATTATTTAGACTGCCTTTAATCTTTCCAACTCTCTGAGTGGGGTACTAATTACCTGCACTTTACCCATGAGGAGACTCAGGGAGAGAGGAAATAGCTTACCAAGCCTAGTAAAGTGGAAGGCTGGGATTTGATCCCAGTCAGTTTGACTTCACATCTCTTAATCGGACTGGTATGGCATGCTACTGTGTGACAGATATGTTTGGTCTTAATTTAACTATTTTTTTAAAATGTTATGCTTCATGTTTTTAATGTACTTTATTTATGTATTAGTATTTTTTAACTGAAGACTTATTTTTCTCTTTGCTTTGTATTGGGTGTGTGTTCTTGGTAATGATTAAAAGGACTCATGTTTGCATATTTTAGTATAATTTGATATGTTTACCCTGTATTTGTTTAGGGGTAACTAGCTCCTTCCTGCTGTAATCAGTGACCAGGTTGGTATTGCCACATGTTCTTGCCTCCCCTTCCTTCTCTCCACCACCTGCTTTTGATTAATGATGTTACTAAACTTATTCCAGTGTTAACATTTATAACTTTATGTTTACTAATGCCTCTGATACTTTATCAGTTTTAAATAATATCTTTTGATTTCACTGTAAGAGGCAAGTGTCTTTACACTCTCTCCTTCTTTCCTTGTGCACTGCTCAACTTGATATCATTTTTTTCCATTAAAATTTATAACATTTACATTCTGTTCTTAATTCCCAGAAAATAAAAGTCTTTTTTTTTTTTTTTTTTTTTGAGACGGAGTCTCACTCCATCGCCCAGGCTGGAATGCAGTGGTGTGATCTCAGCTCACTGCAACCTCCGCCTCCCACGTTCAAGCAATTCTCCTGCCTCAACCACCCAAGTAGCTGGGACTACAGGTGCACACCACCATGCCTGGCTAATTTTTGTATTTTTAGTAGAGATGGGGTTTCCCCATGTTGGCCAGGCTGGTCTCAAACTCCTGACCTCAGGTGATCCGCCCGCCTCGGCCTCCCAAAGTGCTGGGATTACAGGCATGAGCCACCGTGCCCGGCCAAAGAAAAGTCTTTATTCCTACGTCTTAAATGGCTTCATTGCTCACTGTAAGTCTTTTGCTGGACTTTCTGCATTCTTCTTGAGTGGATAAAGTTTATCCTCTAATAGTTCATGAACCCATACATTTTGGCTCATGGGAATGAAATTTTCCAAGTTCTTGTATGTTTAAGGATATATATTTTTTCTCCTTAGTATTTTATTTTATTGTTTTTTTTTTAAATTGACACATAATGTGCATATTTATGGGGTACAGAGTGAAGTTTTGATACATATAATGTGTGGTTATCAGATCAGGGTAATTAGCATATCCATCATCTCAAATATTAGATATTTTGATTTTGTAACATACTTGATTGACACTGTGGCCAGATATAGAATTCTTGGGTCGTACCTTCTTCCCTTGAAGACTCTTAAGTGTGGCCCTATGTGTCCTAGTGTTAAATGTAGCCGTGTTGAAGGCTGAGGCTGATTGTACTTTCCCTGTCGTAGGGGTGTATTAGTCTACTCGGCTGCTGTAATTTTGTTTATACCACAGGTTGGGTGGCTTAAACAGCAGACAGTTCGTTGTTTTCTCACAGTTCTGGAGGTTAGAAGTCCAAGGTCGAGGTGCCGTCGGGGTTGGCTCCTGGCGCAGCCCTCTTCCTGGCTTGTATGTGGTCACCTTTCCTGCTGGGTCCTCACATGCCTTTCCCCTGTGTGAGCGTAGAGTGGGGAGAGAATAGGAGAGAGAGACTGATTTCTGGTGTCTCTTCCTTTTCTTAGAAGACCTTCCTCCAGTCCTGTCAAATTAGGGCCCCACCCCTATGACCTCAGGTAACCGTGATGACCTCTTGAAAGGCCCTATTTCCAATTATAGTACACTGGGAGTTAGGGCTTTAATGTATGAACTGGAGGTAGGGGGAGCACAGTTCATTCATAATAAAGGGTAATGTATACGTTTTGCCCAAAGGTCCAGAGACTTTTTATTTTTTCAGTTTTAAATACGAGATATAGACCCATATTTGTTGACAAGGAAAAATGTTCATAGTATATTGTTGAATGAGAAAAATCAAGTTTATTTATTCTTTTTCTGTTTCTGTTGTCTGTCATTTCCTCCTGTTTGATGATGGTTATTGTTTTAAAATAGATACTTGGATTCTTGGAAATGTCTTTGGAAATTCTTGGGAATTTTTATCTGCTTTGTTTCAATATTTTTCCAGATATTTTTTTTTTTCGGTCTTTTGGAGACAGGATCTTGCTCTGTCACCCAGGTTGGAGTGCAGTGGCACAATCTTGGTTCATGTAGTCTTCACCTCCGAGGCTCAAGTGGTCCTACCTCAGCCCCCGAGTAGCTGGGATCACAGGCATGTGCCACCACACTTGGCTGACTTTTAAATTTTTTCATAGAGGTGGGGTCTCCCAATATTGCCCAGGCTGGTCTCAAACTCCTGGACTCAAGTGATCCTCCCTCCTCAGCCTCCTAAAGTGCTAGGATGATGGGCGTGAGCTACCACGCCTGCCCCTGGATATGTGTTTTTGTCTGCCATTTGTTTTTCCTCTTTTCTCTGTCCCTTTTCTTTCTCTTTGAGTGTTTTTATATCACTGTTGGCTGGCTTCTTTGTGCCCCTTACTCGTCTCTGAATGAGCAGAGTTCTTCTGGACTAATGGCGTGTGGGTAGGCTGGGGAGGTCCTGGGCAGCGTCTGGGGGAAGCTGTGATCTGCCCTGGACTCTTCCCTTGCCGCTGGACTGTAAGGGTGCTTGGCCTAACCCTGCCTGCTCTGCCACCCTGTGGCTCCTCACACCGGCCTGTCCTGAGCAAGGGCTTGCTGCTGCTCCTCTGGCTCTCCTTTGCTGAGACCTGAAGTCACCGGTTCGCCTTTGATGTCCTCACTCGTCTTGGTTGTGTTTTCATAGCCCTTGGCAACTTGCTTCTGGGATATTCAGTTTCAGGGTGTTTAGGTGTTATGTTATTGAAGATAAGAGTTTCTTTTTCTGTAACTTGTTCTAATTTGGGTGGGTAATAAGAACAGAGGCCTTCAGAGAAGTATTTACTCTGACGTCTTAAAGCTTTTAAGGCCCACGGCCAGATTTCTTTAATACACTTTGGGCATCCTCTGTCTGTAAAATTAGGGAATTGTATAATGTCCTCGCTAACATACTTTCAGGTTAACCTGTTTATGGTTCTGATGTATTTACATGAAATTTGGGTAAACACTAAATATAGTGAATGTTTTCTTACAGACAGAACCTCCACTCAATACACCAGAAAACAGAGAGTATCTTGCAGAAATTATGTTCGAATCATTTAACGTTCCAGGACTCTACATTGCAGTTCAGGTAAAACCAGTTATGTTTGTGATTCCTAAAGCACCTGAGCTGTCTAGTAGCGGAAGAAATGGTATTTCCCAAGGTTCTCCGCTGGAAGACTGCGCTGTGTGCCCTTCCTTTTTCCACTCCCTCCCCCGTCCCCATGCCATTCAGGACTATAGGGAAGGTGTCCCATGACTTTTCTTTTTATATTGATGCCATTTTTTGGTATAGACGTCGTCTGGCTCTTTTTACATGCATTAAAGTCTCATGCATTTTTATCTGGGTGACAAGATATAGGTGTAGATGTGCTTCTTCTTTTGGCATCTTTGACTTTGATCAGAAAAACAAAATAATTACCTTTAGAGGTTTCCCCTTTCCGATTTTGGGCTCTTATGAGTCCCAGTGTACTTGATTCTGAGGGACCCTGTGTTTTCATGAGCTCGCAGAACTTGTTCTGAAGCTGCGGTTCTTGGTGTGATATTTTTTGGTTGCATTTGGTCATTATTTGCCTGCCACCTTATGTAAGGGAATTGACTGAAATTTTGGGGAATAAATGAGATGGGTGTTGCCCAAATGTTTTCTGCATAATACTAGTCACTTCTAAGGAGGAGGAGGAGGAGGAAAAGTTCCATAGAAAGATGAATTTGGGCGATGCTGCATCCTGCAGCTTTCTCGGGCTGATTCACAGTGCCTATCAGCACAGTCCAGGCTCTGAGCATTCCTGTGTCGAAATCTATGTATTCTAGCACTTCCAAATTCATTTAACTACAGATCTTCCCCCTGGCTAAGTTACTTATATTCCATGGCCTAGGGAAACACTTCAGGAGACATAAGACTGGTGGTTCTCAAAGTGGTCTGTGCAGCAAGTTTACCTGGAGAATGTTTTTAGAAGCACAGATTTTGGGCTTCGTCTTCGACCAGGGTTTTCCACCCTCAGTGCTTTGGGCTGGGTAGTCCTTTGTTGTGGGCGCCGCCGTGTGCATTGCGGGGAGCGTAGCGGCATCCCTGGCCTCTGCCCACTAGAAGACAGCAGCCCCACCTCAAGCCTCCCCGCCCCGACGAAGAAAATGGTACCAGATATTGTCAGATGTTCCCTTTGGGGCAACATTTTCTTTGGTTGAAAAATTACCCTGTACCTTCCAGATTAGAATTTCTGGGTGTGAGGCCTAGTAATCTGTATTTTAAACAACGCCACAAGTGACCTCATTGCCAATCTGTGGCCCCACGCCGGAAACCAATGAAGTAGAAATTAAAATCTTATGATTCTATAATGAAATATCTTTTTCACTGGCTTTTCTTTGTAAAACCTTAGTTTTTTTTCTTTCTTTCTTTTTTTTATTTTTGAGACAAGGTCTCACTGTGTTGTCCAGGCTGGAGTGCAGTGGTGCGATTATGGCTCACTCTAGCTGCGACCTTCTGGGATGAAGGGATCCTCCCACCTCAGTCTCCCGAGTAGCTGGGAGTACAGGTGCGTGTCACCACGCCTGGCTAATTTTTGTATTATTTGTAGAGATGGGGTTTCACCATGTTGCCCAGGCTGGTCTCGAACTCTTGGGTTCAAGTGATCTGCCTACCTTGGCCTCCCAAAGTGTTGGGATTACAGGCATGAGTCACCACAGTCAGCCACGTTTCTTTATTGAAAACTTGACTCCTATAGTTGTAAGTACTCAACATTTTCGTGTTAGTTGTCCAAGTTTGAATTGGAATTTGAGGGACAGGGGTTAGAGGATGGATAGGAAAAGGAAAGAGTTACTCAGACATATTAAGTAAGAGAGTTTGTTGATTGGACCTGGAAGGAGCAGGCAGGTGGCTTTAGAAAGAGTTCCTATGTGCGAGCGGTTTTCATGTCTTTTCTCCAGGCAGTGCTGGCCTTGGCGGCATCTTGGACATCTCGACAAGTGGGTGAACGTACATTAACGGGGATAGTCATTGACAGCGGAGATGGAGTCACCCATGTTATCCCAGTGGTAAGCAGAATAGTTAATATATAAGTCTCTGTAGGCTTAACACCTGATTCGAGGTAAGGATGGAAATTAAAAAAAAAAAAAACCTCTTCTGTAATGAAAATACAATTTAGATGATAGTTGTACTTAGAAAGATAATAAAAGTTTTTTATTTTTTGCCACCTTATATAAAGGAATTCCCCAAGTATGTGGGAAAGAATGAAAAGGATGGCCAATTATTGTGGCTTTGGCAATTTTCAATTCATGGTGGCATATTTTTACAGTCAGAATGTCAGAGAATGTCCAGGATGTCTCTGGATCTTCAGAGCCTCTGCTTGATCCCCGTGGGTGTAACATCAACAAGAACATTTTCCGGGGTTATTCCGACATGTTGGGAGATAGACACCGTTTTGGATGTTGAATTTGTAGGTGCAGTGCGTGGCCATTTGAAGGAGCACATCTGTGTTCTCTGAAAAGATGTGAATGGCAACCAGCTCAAGCTTGGAAAAATTGCTTTTTGTTTTAAAAATTTATTTAAGGGCTGGGCGCGGTGGCTCACGCCTGTAATCCCAGCACTTTGGGAGGCCAAGGCGGGCGGATCACCTGAGGTCGGGAATTCGAGACCTGCCTGACCAACATGGAGAAACCCTGTCTCTACTAAAAATACAAAATTAGCCAGGTGTGGTGGCGCATGCCTGTCCCAGCTACCTGGGAGGCTGAGGCAGGAGAATCGCTTGAACCCGGGAGATGGAGGTTGCAGTGAGCCGAGATCGCGCCATTGCACCCCAGCTGGGCAACAAGAGCGAAACTCCGTCTCAAAAAAAAAAAAAAAAAATTTAAAAGCCAAGAAGGGGAGATTGTACATTTTGGCTTGCAGAAGGCTCTGCAATACCACTTTTTGGTTTCAGAGAAGTGATTCCTAATTTGGGTTTCAAGAGATCTCTGAATTTTTCTTTTGGTCCAATGGACTATTTAAAGGAATTATCTTAAATTCATTTTTTTTGGAAAATGTATCAGAAGTGTCTGAAGAGGGTATTCAGAGGGAAGTCAGACTCATCCTGGTCTTTCTCCTTTGAGGTCTCCTCCTCAGGAACCACCATTGCTAGTTACTTCTGTTATGTTACAGATAATGTTTCTGCATATGTATATGGGGGGGTGTGTTTGTGTATATATTTACATACACACAGCTCTTTTAAAATGCAAATTAGGATTTTCAAAAATCATTTAATTTAATTGAAAAAATGGTCACCATTTCATTTTGAGAAGGTGATGGGGTGATGTACTAATACCAATGCCTTTAATTCCTTGAAGGTTAGGTATCACTGCAGAGGAAAGGCTTAATGGTCGATGGGCCTACAGTCAGGGAGAAAAAAGCCAGCCTCCCGCCCCCATACCTTGTACTCCTGGCTATGTGTCCTTCCTGTGGGGAGGAGAGGTGGCTGCCCTGCCCTGTGAAGTGTGCTCTAGACTTGAGCCCCCTTCAAGCCAGTCTCAGCACTCCTTTCGGTGGATCTTGAGAAGAGTTAGTGCCCTGGGTGCAGAGCACTCACCGAGAACTCAGGCTGCCATTTCCTCAGAGAACTGCGCTGCTGAGATCCAAGATGAGGCCCCCGTAGGCCCCTGGCCTGCACCCCCTTTGGTTCTTTGCCTATTTCTTATGTCTGATTTAGGAAAAGGAAAGAAAATACATTTCACAGTGTGTCCAGGCCCACTAAGAAAGTTGTTTGAAAAGATTTTTAATCGTATCTTAGTTCAGTTTTTCCTCCAGCTATAAAAATTACATTAGTCATTGAAAATTTGGATAAAATAGACAAATTTGAAGAAATAAAATTACCTTTAAAGCCGCCCAAAGACCTGTATTATACTTTTAGCCGTATAGTCTTTAAGCTCTTTTTCTTTTTTTTTGGAGATGGAGTTTCACTCTTGTTGTCCAGGCTGGAGTGCAATGGCACGATCTCGGCACACTGCAACCTCTGCCTCCCAGGTTCAAGCGATTCTCCTGCCTCAGCCTCCTGAGTAGCTGGGATTACAGGCATGCGCCACCATGCCTGACTAATTTGTATTTTTAGTAGAGATGGGGTTTCTCCATATTGGTCAGGCTGGTCTCGAACTGCCGACTTCAGGTGATCCGCCTGTCTTGGCCTCCCAAGGTGCTGGGATTACAGGCGTGAGCCACTATGCCCGGCCTAAGCTCTTTTTCTAAGACACGTGTGTGCACGCATGCATGCACACACACACACACTTTAAACACAATTGGAATGTCTCATGTCTGGTTTGGGATTGTACATATAATACAATCCTAAGGTTATATTTTGCGTATTAATTTAACCCTAGTTTTTTTCTCTTGTGGTTAAATATTCTGTGAAAATACATTTAAGAAGTACATAATTTATTTTTCTGTTGTTGGACATGTATCTTGTTTTAATATTTTTACCACTGTCATGAGCTGATATTTATTTAACAGTATTTTAGAAAATATTATGTGTAATGCATAGAATATAGTAATTGTGAATAGTTTATGTGTTAGAAAGCTAATATTATTTTTATGGGTTTAAGTTGAGTTTTAGTAATTTATACTTTTATCTCCATCTTAAAATACTTTACAAATACTTGGACTCTGCAGAAAGGCTAAATCTTTTTTTGCTTCTGGAAGTTAGGTATATCAGAAAGAAACCATAGGAGGAATTCAGTAAGTTGTTCTTGCAACTTTACTGGTGACTAGATGCAGCTATTAGAATGAATACATCTGTAAAATGAAGTCAGCGTTTCACTTCTGTTCCCTTCTGTCTCATTTGGGGACTGTGGCACAGAAGCTGTGATGTGCTGTAACGTGAAACCTGAGTGTCTTTACCGGATGATCCAGCGGTGGGCGTTGTCCACTCTGACGGTCAGCATCCTGCTCATCCCCTGTAGAACAAGCTGGATGTGTGTCCAAGCCTGTGGCTCCTGTGGCAGGTCTGTGCCCACAGGAAGGCTGATGAGGGAGCTTTGGGCCCATCATTGCTGTGGGCATGTGGACACTTGACACTGGCCCTGCCATTGATCGGCCCAGGTCGTGGTCACCCTCCTTTCCTGGCCCCTCACAGACATGCCTTCACTGGCTTAGGGAGGCAGTGGAATGAGAGGCTCCCAGCCCCCAAAACCAGTGCTGTGTGCTCGACACACGCAGTTTCATCTGAACTGTATCATTGGCCCCAGCAGGGTATTGTTTGCCTCATACGATGGACAAACGCGCTGAGGCTGAAGCATGTGAAACTTGCAAATGTGGAGCTGGGATTTGAGTCCAGGTTGTTAGAATCTAAGCCCTGTGTATTAACCAAATTGCTGACTTTTAAACGTAAGTAGATTTATAGTTGGCTTAACAATTTATAAATAAAACTTTTTCCTTTTTGTTAGGGAAAGAACCTATTGGGTTTAGTGTTCTTACAGACAGCATTTCTTTTTGGAAATGAACTATCTTATGTGGTTTTTCTTTTCATATTCCTAATGAAATCATTTTGGTTGCTTTTGGAGAGTGTCAGGTTATTGGAATAATCTGGAATTTTGAATATTAATGGAATTGCATATGCAGTCCTTTTGAAAGACCTTCTGTACTGAGCTTGCAGAGGGTGGGGATTCTGTCAATGCTTGTCAGTGCCGTGAGGGGCAGACAGGGAGGCTGAGGCAGGAAACCTCGTGAGTCCAGGCTGCTCTCCACCACGAAATCACTAACACAGCTGTTCTGCCTCCTCTTCTTCCCTAGGCAGAAGGTTATGTAATTGGAAGCTGCATCAAACACATCCCGATTGCAGGTAGAGATATTACGTATTTCATTCAACAGCTGCTAAGGGAGAGGGAGGTGGGAATCCCTCCTGAGCAGTCACTGGAGACCGCAAAAGCCATTAAGGTAAAAACAGATGGGAAACCGGCTGGTTTGGGGGTGAGAGAGATGGTGTTCTGGACACTTCCCCTTGGTGCCATCATCCCTGCCCCTCCTTTCCATCCTCTCCCCTTCCCATGAGTGTGGGGCTTGATTTGTTTTACCCCTTAAGTGGGCTGAAGATGTAAAGCTTAACCTCTTCCAAACTAGATGCTCTGAGGTTCCAGCTGTCACTGAGAACAGCTTGGTAGCTGGTACAGCGTACCAGCGTGCAGAGGCAGCATTGTTCAGCTGGAGCCTCACTGCTGGAGCCTCATCTACCAGAGCGCTCCTTCCATACTGCCTCCATGCTTCGCTGTAGAATCAGGAGGCGACCACAGCAGCAGAACACTGCCAACCTAGGATCCAGAGCTATTGCACAAAATTCACACACAGGTGTGGCTGTGACATGTGGCCATAAGCATCTTCTTCCTTTATGGCACAGTTACTGAGTGTAGCAGAGCTTGATGGGGGTGAGCCTGACACCCACACTTCTCCTCACTGCCTTCCTCCCTTCTCAGCACCTCGTAACTGAGGCTGGCTGAAGGAAAGGAAGCACCAGAGATGATTCCCGAGGTGTTTTTAGGTCAGGAGGCACTGGCATGAGGCAGGCTCTGCAGTTGGGTATGACCTGCCCTGCTTTACCTGGGACCAGAGATTCCTGGGAAGGGGGCTCTCAGTGCTGAAATGGTGATGTGGGGAAGACGTGGTCCCTTCCATCTCAGGGGAAGGTTTCCTGAGGTATCATTAGATATTCTTTTTTAGACTAAAATATTTCCTAAGGGGTTACCTTCTCCTTTCTTTGCCTTTCCTCCATGGAAGAATATTTGACTATTTGATCCAAGCTCCCTTGCCACTCCAAATCTGTTAGAAATGTAAGTCAGAATTGAGCCCCTTCATAGTGGCTCACATCTATAATCCTAGGGCTTTGGGAGGCTGAGGCTGGAGCATTGCTTGAGCCAGGGTTCGAAACTAGCCCAGGTGATATAGCGAGATCTCGTCTCTATTTCAAAAAAGAAGAAAAAAAAAAAAAAGAATTGAGCCTTTTGTTATTGACGCCCAGGGTCCACTCCAGTGAGTCTGAGTCCTCCCTATTTCCGCCAGGATTGCTGAGCAACACTGCCAAGGAGGGGCTTTCCTGACCCTCATGCTGGGCCTTCAACTCTCCTCACGGGCTGTTGGGGTTCCAATTTGGACCCTGAAATCTGGGCTGATGTGCTCGATGTGACTATGTGTCTCCCCCCAGTGAAGGCTGGGAGTAAAAGAGACTGTTCGTAGCCTCCGAATCAGCTGCCCTGGCCCTGCTCTGTGGGGTAGCCCTGTTAGTTCTCACCTGACTTCTCTCTTTGAAGGAACAGATCCTGAAAGGCGTGGTTTAGAGCTCCCCCCGCTTCCCCTTACTGCCATGGCCTTCTGTGGTCGCGAACAGGCCTGAGGGAGTGTGTAACGTGAGCACACCAACCTTGCAGCATGAATCCTGAACCTTAAGGTTAAGCCTGTTACTCTGCACCCAACTCAATGGAAACATTTCCTAGGAAGCATTTGAGTTAAGTAAGCTGAGATGCTGTAGGATGTTGACCAGGCCTGTGAGGAGAACTGAATGCCTTTGTCTCCAGTCTTGGTAGATTTGAGGTTGTAATCAGCTGACCCTGTTGCTCTGTGTCATCAAAGAACACAGGGTTGTGTAGCACTTCTTGCCTGTCAGTCTTCTTAAAATTCCGCTAGAGTATATCCAAGATACCCAGAAGATGGCATTAGAATATGTTTCAGGGATGCTAAGAAACTTTAAACTTAATACCACGAGAGCGTCTTTGGAGGTCCTTGAGAGAGCCATTCCTTCCACAGTGTGCTCAGCGCCAGCTGGGCGGCCCACCTCGTGCTTCCTGTAGGCAGCAAGTATCTGGGGGTCACCTGCTGCTATGCTGAGGCCAGCTCTAAGGACACATATCAACACAAAGGTGTCCAAGAACATTCATCTTACCAGATACCCATGAAACACTTCGCATCCCTCAGGCTGCCTGTCGGTGCAGGGTGGGAATCGTTAGCGACTTCTCTCGCAGCAGCAGCAGCAGCAGCATCCTGGCGGCTTCAGTCCTCCCACCTGACTCTGCTTTTCCTTTCTTCCCCGGGACCTATCACTTTATAACCTACCATGTCATTTACTTATTATGGTTGCTTATTGTTTTCTGACTCCCAGCTAGAGTGTAATCTTGGCAGGGATCTGTGTGTTTCGCTACCTTGTGTATCCCAAGTGCCTAGACAATAAATCTATGTTGATTGAGGGACTTAGAATACCCAGTCAACAAGGTACACTGTCTCTAGGCAAAGAGATGGTGTCAGTGGAGCTGATGACAGTGCTGTGGCCAGCTCCACACCAGATTAACAACCAGCAGGTTGACAGTGGCCACCCGGCTTGTGGCATGCTGGGACCCAAATGGGACCCAAAGAAGCCTCTACAGTCAGGTTTAGGGTGTAGACAGTGCCGCACTCGGTAGTTGAGCTCGCAGCACGGGTCCACTGGTCCAGTGTGGACCACAGTGAGGTGCCAGAGCAGGCCATAGGAGGCATCTGAGAGGAACAAGGCAAGACGAGGTGCTTTCTAGACACCTGTAGACATCATTTCAGATATGATAGCGATAGAATTGGATAGACCAAGGCTGAGATTAATAGCTGAGTTGCAGAGAAAGCAGACTTACCTGTCCGAAGTCCAAGTGTAACCATGTCTAACATGAAAGACGATGGAATGTGAGGCTTGATGCATATCCACACTAGAGTAACGGTGGGGGCGGTTCTGATCCCAGGGTGTGTTTACTGCATGGGCTTCCTGGTTATTTGTCTGAGGGCAGAGACACTGGGCAGTTGTTAATGCCTGGCAACATCTTTGTGTGTGTATGCAGGAGAAATACTGTTACATTTGCCCCGATATAGTCAAGGAATTTGCCAAGTATGATGTGGATCCCCAGAAGTGGATCAAACAGTACACGGGTATCAATGCGATCAACCAGAAGAAGTTTGTTATAGACGTTGGTTACGAAAGATTCCTGGGACCTGAAATATTCTTTCACCCGGAGGTAAGGTGTTTCTTTTTTTGTGTGCTCAAGTGTGGGATGGAGCGATACTGCCACCCAGAGTGTAGAAAGAGCAGTTCCCAGCGAAGGGCCTGTGAGCAGGGTGGCCGTCATTCGGTCTCTCTGCATCCCCCATGCAGTTTGTCTGCTTGACAGATTGTTCAGTTTGCCTCTCCGTAGAGCTGGTTATCTGTTTTAATAGTTAAGGATGGGTTATACCACAAATAGTTAGGAAGACTTTTAGGAGCGATAGATGATAATAGAATTAAAAGTAATCTCCAAGGGTTGTGGGTGGTCACATGCTAGCATTACAAGTAGCTACTCTCAAGGCCTGTATGGAGGTTGCCTGTGCATAAGAGTGGGATAATATGTAACCTTTCTATCTTTGGTGATTGCCCTTCCTAACTTCTAATTTTAACCCTGGACAGTTGGTCCTGCTCTGTTCCCTGCTGCAAGTTAGGTAAAGCTTCTGTCTAAGGCCAGCATTTCTATTATTTAGATAATCTTAAGAATTAGAAATGTCATCATTTTAACTAGTAGTCATAAGGAATTATTAGTACTTTTGCAGAAAGCAGTAATTAGGAGGCACATTTTAAGATTTACATATAATGCATTTTATTTATATTTTGGTATATATTCCTGGCTAATTCAGTTTATATTCAGTAGGTGGGTTACAAACTGCTGTTTGTTTTTAGATGTGTATATGACTATTTTGTACAGAGAAATAGCATAGAATGTGTTCCTCGCTAGTAATCTGAAGAATAAAATAATAACAATGATAATCTAGTGAATGCTCACTTTTAATAGTATTGATTTGAAATGGACATAGAACAGTCAAATGTCCAGTGAACAGCTGGTGAGCAACTGAATATCCTCCTCCTTCCTCTGAGAGTGCACATTCAAGCTTACTTTGATTTTTAAAATATTTCAAATGAAATGTAATTGAGTTGAATTCGTTATACTTTAGCTTATTTAACTTATGGAATTGAATCTATGGCTGTTTATTCAATAACATGATTATCATGTGGATTGTTTCATGTTAAACAAACCCTTCTCATTAAACAAAACACTTCCCTGCATCTTCTAGACCAGGTTTAATTAATCTTTCATTGAACCTGTTTCTTTTTCCTTATATCCTAATTTTCTCATAATACGAATATTGTCAAATGATATGTCAAAGTCATGTTTCTCACTGCGTGTCACGTAGATCGTGCACATACTCTCCACTGCTCTTAGTAGACTGAATCACTGTGTATTCATGGGGTGGGGGTGGTCTGTCTGTGATGTTGTTGGTATTTTTTCTTCACTAAATCCATACATTTTACCTCATGAGGAGAAATGTGTCATCACCACCCCACGCACACGTAGTCACATGGGATTCATTTGACATATCCTTCATTCCAATGTGAATTCTTTTAAGTTATAATAAATTGTATATTTGTTAAAGTTACTTTAAAGGAGTGTTCATGTTGTTCTATTTGAGAGAAATGTGTAATGTTTCTTTTATATTGATATACAATTCAGTTTGCCAACCCAGACTCTATGGAGTCCATCTCAGATGTTGTTGATGAAGTAATACAGAACTGCCCCATCGATGTGCGGCGTCCGCTGTATAAGGTATGAGCTGCATGGGTAAGGTACTTTGATTTCATTCCACAATTAAAGGCCCATAATTCTTAGAAGACGGTATTACTGTCTATTACTAGTAAATATCCCTGTTTCACCTTCTGTTTCATAGGATTTGTTAAAGACAATATAATTGTAAGAGAAAATGGAAATATGACTCAGTTAACTAGAATTTTTATTTTATTTTATTTTATTTTGGAGACGGAGTCTTGCTCTGTCACCCGGGCTGGAGTGCAGTGGTGCGATCTCAGCTCACTATAACCTCCGCCTCCTGGGTTCAAGCAATTCTCCTGCCTCAGCCTCCTGAGTAGCTGGGACTACAGGTGCACGCCGCCACGCCCAGCGAATTTTTTTGTGTGTGTTTCAGTAGAGATGGTGTTTCACCATGTTGCCCAGGCTGGTCTCGAACTCCTGAGCTCAGGCAATCCACCCGCCTTGGCCTCCCAAAGTGCTGGGATTACAGACATGAGCCACCATGCCCGGCCAACTGGAAGTATTTCAGTATTGTAAATATATTTTATTTTTATCTGACAAGATATATTTTAAGGTGGACAGTTTTAGCCACAAATATCGATGGAAAGTAAGAGTGATGCCCTCCTCCATGCTTTCCGTGAATTCCATTGGTTTCGTTTCATGCATATTTGGGTTTGGTGCCAATGTGGTGTCATCACATAGAGGTTAGAGCCCAAAATGGGACAGTCAGATAGAATATGCTCATGTATTATTATGATTTTTTTCAAAATTCTTAGATTTCAGGGAATTTTGAAACCTGGAATGAGGAAAATCTAGTCTATATGATTATTGAGTAAAAAGAAATCCTACTGACAGCCTGAGATGGTGAGCAGGAGGTGATGGGCAATTAGCCTTCCTGCACCTTTAATCAGTCTTTGCTTGAGTGAGTCGCGCCGTCAGCTCAGTGGCATGACTCACTCGCCTTACTCAGACTCAGGTCGCTGAATTGTACAGAGAAGAGAATCAGGCTCAACTGACAGCACTCAGCATTGTGTCACCTGTGCCGTGGAATACTATGTAGCTTTTAAAAAGAATGAGGTAAATCAATATAAATTCAGATGAAAAGATAGCTATAGTATATATGAAGTGAAAAAGGAACTTGTAAAATTTACATATATTTCATTTTATATAAAATATATAGTTTGCGTATTTTTTGAATTATGTATGCTAAACTCTTAAAGTAAATAAAATATCTTTGGGGTGGAATGATGGATAACTTTTACTTTCTCCATTTTGTGTTTTAAAGTTGTTTGAAATTTTACTGTTAAGATTTTTTTATAATTAAAATTTTTTTCTGTTTAGATAACTTTTGAGGGTGTAAACAAATTACAGTTCAGTTTTTGCTGCATATTCTTAAACACTTGTCTAATACAAAATACAAAGAAAGGGGAACTAGAAAGAGACTGGAGTATGCAAATGAAGAAAGCTAGCGGGTCATGTCCTTCCCACTTCAATCCCGCCTGACATTAGCTGTGTCTCCTCATCAGTGAAAGCAGCAGCAGGGAACACTGTTCAATCTTAATCCCATCATAAAGCAGAGGAAACTGCCAGCAGTTACAGATTGCTCCTCACGGGGTGGGAATTTTCTTGTTTGACAGTTTAGCTCCCTGGACTTTATAGAAGTTTTGGAGCAGAGATGGTCTTGGAGACCATGTAGATGGAGCCCCTTATTTAGTAGATAATGACACTGAGCCCCAGAGTTGGGAAAAGGTGGCGAAAGGCGCCTGGGTTATGTGCTAGGTGAGATCATGTGGCTGCCAAGTGGCACGGTTGGCTTTTAAGCCCGTTTCCCGCATCTTTGAAAACTCATGCTTTTCCCACCGCATCACACTGAAAATTATGTAAAATGCGGAGGGAAGAGGATTCTTCTTTTTGTTGCCCGTGCTGGAGTGCAGTGGCGTGATCACAGCTCACTGCAGCCTCGACCTCTCGGGCTCAAGCGATCCTCCTGCTTCAGTCTCCCAAGTAGCTACAGGAACATGCCACCATAGCCGGCAAGATTATTCTTCAAAGAGGGAAACCCTGTCCCTGACCACTTTGTCACTAGGATAATCATTTCTTCTCTGTGGCTTTCAGAAGGGTGTAGCTTGGCCCTGGCTGTCAAGTTTGTGCAGAATAAATCCTGTCTTCCCTCAGCCGTCTTGGTTTTTTTGAACAGGACCTCTCCAGTGTTATGAGTGCCTTGCAAGTGATAGAGAATTCATGTAGGATTGAGAGGTGGAAGGATTGAATGTCCTGGGGCTGGCCATGCTTTCTCGTTTGTCACATAGCTGAACTCTATACCCCGTTGTGGGAAAGGAGAGACACAAAGGAGGTCACCTCCTTTGCCACCTAAGTTAGAGTAGACCAGAATATGTTACGATAAAAATTAATCCAAAATCTCAGTGTTTAGCAGCAAAGGTTTATTTCTTTGCACGTGGTTCACGTCTGGTGTGGTCGGCAGTAGGCTCCACCACCGTGTTGTGGCTGCCCTTCTGGAACACATCGCCTCAGGTCCCCGCTGCCGGGGAGGAGACAGCTGGTGCGCCATTCCACCCCTCCTCCCCGGGCCGTCACGTGGGCCAGCCTCCACCGGGCACTGGAAGCGGGAGGGTGATAGAATGTTTGGTGGGCACCACTGCCTCTCATGTAGCCACGAAGAAAGGGACTTCTTTCCAAAGTATGGGTCTTGATGACTAAGTTGAAGTTTAATATTGAGGCCTAAGAATGCCCGTTTCTGTGCGTTAGCCTGCCAGGTAACAGCTGCTGTAGTGTTTTTTTTCCCCATGGTGATATGAGACCGGGAGTTGGCCAACTTTTTCTGTAAAGGGCCAGATGGTGAATCATTTTGGCTCTGCAGGCCGTATGGTCTGTGCTGCATTTATTCAGTTCTGCCAGAGCAGCCGAAGACCGTGTTGAACGACTAGGAGTGGCTGGGTTCCTATAAAGTTTTATTTACAAAAGCAGGAGAGAGCCTGTTGTAGACATGTGAGGAGTTACTTATGGAAGCCTCATTCTAATACTGTCCGGGTTGGCCTGTGATAATTATCTGCGGACCCTCCTCAGGCGGGGCATGTTGAGGCGTGGCCTTTGCTAGTTCCTCAGCAAGTCAGTGCTGCCTTTAGGAAAGACTGTGGAAGAGTCACTGCCGAGCTCTGCTCACAGCCCAGGGTAGAGTCACACACTACTCTAGGGCTCCTGCTGACTTGGTTTCTGGAAGCCGTCAGCCCTCCCAGACGGACTCTCGCTGTGTGGGATGGAGTAGGGTCCCTCCAGAAGCAGTGTCTGAGCAGTGAAGCTGCACTGACGAGGTTCGCTCCTGCTCGGTGCACTCCCTGCTACGCTCCCTTCTGTAACTCCTGCTCCTTAGTGCGGTGGAGAGCATGCCCCGAATCGTCTGTGTTAGCAAGTGCACAGATCAGTAGGTCTGTGGGTTTTTAAAAATAATTCTAAAACACTGTTCTGGTTAGAAGACATGCTGCAAATACTTCTGCAGAGCACGCAGTCACCTTTCTCTGGACGGCCGCGCATTCCTGTGTCTTAGGGGTGTGCCTTTCCTCTTGGTTCACTATGCAGTGCTTCCAACCTGCTGGGTCACTCTTGCCGGGTAAGACGCCCTCTCTCCAGGAGTGATGGTGCCGATTCCTGACCTCGGCTACCTGTGTGCTTTCACTGGTTCCACAGCCTCATTTGGTCAGCTGTGCTAGCCACATAGACCAACAGAGTGGGTGCCCTGAAGATGTGCTTTTGGCTTCAGAAGAGGTCGTCTCTCTCCCTCTGCCACACCTGCGCCTTGAGGCGCTCGTCTGGGCCAGTGGGGCTTTTTTCTCCTAGCTTTATTGAAATATAATTTTTAATTTTTATGAGTACTTAATAGGTATATTTTTGAGGTATATTGACAAGTAAAAATTGTGTGTGTGTGTATATATATATACACACACACACACACACACATCAAGAGCAGGAAAATTGTGCATATTTAAGGTGCACAGTGTGATGATTTGATACAGGTATGTACATCGTGGAATGCTTACCACAATCAAGCTAATGAAGACATCCATCACCTCACACAGCTACCTTTTTCAATGTGTGCAGTGAGAATATGTAAGATTCCTCTCTCAGCAGATTTCCACTACACCGTACCCTCTTCCTAACTGTACTCACCATGCTGGAATTAGGCCTTCAGAGCTTGCCCATCTTCTGACTGCAAGTTTGTTCCCTTTGACTAACATCTCCCCACTCCGCAGCACCTGGTAACTGCCATTCCACTCTCTGCTTCTGTGAGTTTGACTAAAAATTCAGAATCTTTAAACAAGCAAAACAGTTTTTTTAGATGAAAGTAGCCATCATCTGTCCGATTTTTATTTCCGTCTGATGTGTAGATGAGAAGGGTATTTACACATCTGCTTTATGTGTTCCGCCTCCAGGAATGACAGGGGTGGGGCCTGCGGGGAAGCCTCCGTGTGAGAGCAGGTGAAAATCAGCCTGGGCCCACCGTGGGCTTCATCCAGGAGCTGTAAAATGGACCGGAGTCTGGGTCCCACCCTGGGAGATTCTGATGTAATTGGGCTTGGGCTGGGTGGAGCCTGGACACCTGGATGGTAAAAGCTTCCCAGGTGACTCTAATGTGCTTCTAACCTGAGAACCGCCATCAGCGCCAGCCCACTCTTGGATCAGCCAGTGTTTAGTAACTTGCACGCTTTACTTGAGGGGGAAGCCAATTTGAATTGCTTTGTAATGTAATGGATGTCTTTCTACTTCTCAGTTCTATTCAGGAGGTACTTGAGTACCTACTAGGTACAAGACACTGTTGTTAAATTAGGGGATTTAAGTATGTACGAGATGATTCGGTTCTTGTCTTCAAGAGCTTATAAAAAAGCTAAAAATACGGAAATAACTCTAATGGGAACCACTACAAGCTAAATGTCATTAAAGTGAATCATGCAAATTATGGTAATTGAGAGAAGGGGCAGATTGCATTTAATTAGAGGGGATCAAGAAAGGCTTTGAGAAGCTGCCATCTGAGCTGAGTCTGAGAGCTTGGCCTGCAGAGCTGGGGGTGGGTGGACAGGCCAGGTGGAGGGAAGATAATGAGCGCAGATAGAAGGAGAGTGGGCAGATGCCTGCGGTGCCTGTTTTGGCCAGAGCCTACGGTGGTGGGGAAGGTAGTGGGAAACAAACCTAGGAGGGAGGGTGGGACCAGCAATAAAATATCTTTAGCCTGCTCCAGCAGTCTGGATCCAGCAGTGGGTTGGGAGTTGTTAAAAACTCTTCATGAAGTTTGTGAAGCAGATGTAAATACATCCTGCTATAGCAAAGGGATTGATTTTTCTGTAACAAATTGCTTGAATTGAATATATATAATTATGTGAATGCATTTTAAACTAGAGAAGCATGTTGCAGGGTAAATGGGTTATAGATATAAAATAAATAAATACTTACTATTTAGAGACAGAGCCTTGCTCTGTTGCCCACGCTGAAGTGCAGTGGTGTGATCACAGCTCACTGCAGCCTCGACCTCCTGGGCTCAAGCAGTCCTCCCACCTCAGCCCCTCAAGTAGCTGGAACTACAGGTGTGGGCGACCACTTGCAGCTAATTAAAAATTTTTTTTTGTAGAGTTGAGGTCTTGCTCTCTTGCCCAGGCTGGTCTTAAACGCCTGGCCTCAAGTGATCATCCTGCCTCAGCCCCAAAGCACTGGGATTATAGGCGTGAACCACTGCGCCGGCTCTATTTTTAATTTTTAATGTTTAAGAGTATGTTTAAATACCTTTAGTATTTGAAGAGAGAAAATCAGAAAAAAATACATATCATTGGTTTTTTTGTCTTTTCAAATAGGTATTTTATTCAGATGAAGTCCTGGTTGAAGTATAATATGTGAACAGATAAAAAGGTAGCTGCTCTGGTTTGGTCAGGCTAGTGGGCAGAGAAGGTTCCAGAGCTCTGCTCTTTTAGCCCCAGTTCCACACTAATATCCCTCATAACTTCTATTTGATGCTTCCTGTTGATAAATCCCCAAATGGCATGATTTTGTCTTAGTGGGAAGGGAAGGCTGATGTTAACAACTGGAAATTGGACATTGACTTGCCCAGCTCACAAGAACATTAAGACACCTGTTGCCGTGGGAGGCCGGTGGAGATGTGGATGGCGGAGCTCTGCCACTGTGGCAACATCGAGTAATGTCAGTGAGCACCTGCAGAGCGCCAGGTCCCACCGCGGGTGCTGAGCAGCCAGGGCATGTCAGGGCTGTGCTGGGAGAGCCGCAAGAGCCCAGGGTGGGCCTCCGTGTGGACAGGAGTATGAGAATCCGAGTCCGTGCTCTCCAATGGTGCTCAGTGGTGATGGCAGTGTCTGTCTCTGTGCTGCCCAGGGTGGCCACTGAGCCCCTGAAATGTGACTGGTGCAGCTGAGGAACAGCCTTTTAAACTTTAACTTTTGTGAGTTAAAATTGCCATATGTGGCTGACGGCCATCCTACAGGACGACTCAGATCAACTCAGGTCGGAGTGAAGGCTGGTGTGACCTGGTCAGTTCAGGGAATGCAGCATGGGAGGGGAAGGGTTTTCCAGCAGCAGGATCTGTGTTGCAGCACTAGGGTGAAGGAGAGTAGCGCGATCCTGTGGGTCTGGAGGGAATTTAGCCTCCCTGGACCTCATGTTTGAATGTGGGAATGGGGAGTGTGAAGCCTGGGATGTGCTTGGGGCCAGATTACACAGGGCTTATGGGGAAGGCACAGGGGCCAACATTGCCAACTGGGGCTCCGAGGAAAGACAGGCATATCCACCTGGAGGGGCCTCGCATGGAGTTAGATTTTATCCTGAGGGCGTTGACAATTTTCTGCAGGAGTGTAATGTGACCCAACTTAAGTTCTAGAAAAGTGCTTGGGCTGCACCAGGGGATGTGGATTGGAGATGGAGACTGGATTTAGGAAGGCCACTGTAGAACCACGCAGAGGCAGGACAGTGCCTGTATTGGGAAGTGGCTGTAGGTGGCTCATGGAGGAAGCCGGGAGAGGAGAGAGGCTCCAGAGCATAGGTGAGAGCTTGACAAGTGGGAGGAAAAGGTTCAGGGTTCTTGCTGCTTATCTAGGAGGGTGGGGGGTCATTTACTGACAGGAGATACAGGAGCGGGGCACCCTTCTGAGGCAGCGGAAGACTAGATCTAGTTTGGTGGAGATGTTGAGTTGCATTTGTAGGTTGGAGGCTTTGCAGGTCTGGGCCAGACATAGAGATTTGAGGACCAAAGGTGTGCTCACAGAAATGAAAGGTCTGCAAATGGATGTCACCAAGGGAGAGTAACAGGTGAGGACAAGACGGCCTTAGCCTGAACCAGCAGAAAGGTCAGGCTTTTAAGGATGAGCAGAGAAAGAAGGGCAGAGAGATTGTTAGTCAGGGCTCTTTAGAAACAGAACCAATAGCGGGTATCTCACGATCTCTTTTTCTTTTAAGAGATGGGGTCTTGCTGTGTTGACCAAGCTGGTCTCGAACTCCTGGGCTCGAGCCTCCCAAAGTGCTGGAATTACAGATGTGAGCCACCACACCTGGCCACTATTTCTATCTCTACATTATCTATAAAATGTAAGGAATTGGCTTGCTTTCAGGCTGGCAAGTCCAAAATTTGTAGGAAGGCTGGCAGGCTGGAAACTCAGGCAGAATTCCTTCTCGGGGAAATGAATTCCTTCTCGAGGAAATCTCAGTTTTTGTTCTTGAGATCTTCAGCTGACTGGATGAGGCCCAACCACATTATAGAGGGTCATCTTTCCTTAATGTTGACCACATCCACAAAACACCCTGACAGCAACACCTCGGTTAGTGTCTGGTTAAATCACTGGGTGCTGTGCCCTGGCCAAGTTGACACACAAAATTAACTGTCACGGAAGTCAAGAAGGAGTCGCCTGAGAAGAGAAAGAAAACTCTAGAAGCCAGGGGGCCCTGTTAAGTGGCACTGAGAGGTCACACAGGATGAGGGTCAAGAGGTAGCCCTTGGGTTCACCACACAGGGGTGAGCAGCCTTGTGAGAGAAGCTGGGCAGAGGCCAAATCACAGCAGTTGCAGGCCGAAGAGGAGGTAGTTAGAGGAAAGAAGACGTGTGGGTAATCCTTGTAAGAAATTTGCCATTAATTGTTATGTCTCTTCCCATCAGGCGGCTGTTGAGGGCTGGACCTGGAGATTGGCTTGGATTTCTCCTAGGACACTGTTGGGTATCATAACAGCCCGTATTTTAGACATAGATTTGTTCAGACTTCGCTGGGATTGCAATCTCTGGGTTCAGTTCAGCAGTAAAAAGCTCCAGTTCCTAAGGAAGTAAAACTTTTCAAGAACACAATATAGAAACAGCAGGGGCTTCTAATAGGGCTGTCCTCTTAACCTGTGGTGGTCTTTGGCATGTAAATAGCAGGGAGAGGGGAAGGCATGTCTATGAGCGGTTCTTTACCTTGCACCTGCAGTTACAGAGGATGGCTGATAGGTGGCACTGTGTGTCTGTTAAATGGAGTTAAGAGAGCCTCTTAGTATTACAGGAATGAAAATTTTTGTTATTTTTAATACCGCATTTGATATTAAGCACTTGCTGTTAATATAGATTTTATTTCCAATCTTTCTGACATAAATTTCAGGAGATGAATGGGTTACGTGTGGCGTTTATAATGGTATGTGCTGTGACATTCTTTTACCAGCATAAAGACAGGGCCTTTCCATCTGCAGAGGTGGTTTAAAATGGAGATTTTTATTTGGCATCATAAAATATACATTTATCCGGCAAGGTAAGGTTGCGGGCTATTGAGAAATTCAGTCGATATAGTGAACTGAATAAATAGACGGTGGCTGACCCCGGGTGGGAAGCAAGGTGTGCCGTGAGACGGGGTTGAAGGGAGGAGGGTGGTCAGAGGTGCACCGAAGAGAACTTAGACTCTACAGATGAGCAGAGTGCATGATTTCCAATCTAAAATTCATGTTCAATTTAGAAAATTTGAGATGTAAAAAACACTTTTACAAAGGAGAAGTTACTCCTTTGTAGTCGCTGTTTTTGTTTTGTTTTTTTTTTGAGACAGAGTTTTCGCTCTTGTCACCCAGCCTGGAGTGCAGTGGTGTAATCTCCAGTGACTGCAACCTCTGCCTCCTGGATTCAAGCAATTCTCCAGCCTCAGCCTCCGAAGTAGCTGGGATTACAGGTGCCCGCCACCACGCCTGGCTGATTTTTGTATTTTTAGTAGAGACGGGGTTTCGCCATGTTGGCCAGGCTGGTCTCGAACTCCTGACCTCAGGTGATCTGCCTGCCTCGGCCTCCCGAAGTGCTGGGATTACAAGTGTGAGCCACCGCGCCTGGTTGTCGCTGTTTATGTTATTACTTCATCTTTCCCTTTTATTTTCATGAACTGTAAATAGGTGGATAGATATGTCCTCTTGTATTTATGTTTCATATGCTATGTATTAACAGCATTATGTTGTGAGCCCTTTCTTAAGCGACTGAAATTCTTTAAAAACATGATTTGTAATGAGGCCTGATGCTCCATGCTGTGTCTGTTTCGATACCCACTCTTTTTTCTGTATTTAGGTTTTTGACACTCTTCTAGCTTAGGTCAAGATTTATTGCATTACCAGGACATGTATGCTTTTCTGGCATAATCTGGCATACACAGGAGTCTGTAACTAATGGTGCTTTTTGAGTCAAATGATTGTGATTTGAGAATCTGCTGGCTTGAGTGAAGCAGATACTTTCTGGCTAAAATGCTGACCTGCCTTAGCCAGTTTTTGAATGCGTTTGGATTTCCAGTTGCAGTTCTGAGTGGGCTGTGGGAGGGAATGACTGTGGGCTGGTGTCCGGAAAGTGTCCAGAAGACTGCTGACCGCCAGAACGTCATCCAGGAGATCTGCTGATTTCTCACACTGTATCAAAAGTGATAAGGGATCACTTTGTTTTCTGAATTAAGTGTTTTTTTTAGAATCGATCATATTGGCTTTTGGCTTTTGTGGGAAGCGTTTTGAGCAGTATTATTTTTAGTTTGTCGTGGTTAAGAGTATAGGCGTCAGGGCCAAGCTGCGTGGGTCTCCACGTGGGCTGAGCCGCTTCCTAGCATCGTGACTGCACTCATTCCCCAGCCCCTGCGTCCTCAGGTGCAGGATGGGCCAGGCGTAAGCGTCTCATGGAATTATTAGGTCACCCTTACACAGGCTGAAGTGTAGTACTTGATATGTGATAGATATTACTACAGGCATAACTTGGAGATTTTGTGGGTTCAGTTTCGGACCATCCCAGTGAAGTGAATGGTGCAATGAAGTGAGCCACACACATTTTTTGGTTTCCTGGTGCACATGAAGGCTATGTTTGCACTATATTATGGTTTAAGTGTATAATAGCATTATGTCTAAAAAACCAGTGTACATACCTTCATTTAAAAAATATGTTATTGCTAAAATATGCTGATACAGAGACACGAAGTGAGCGTGTGCTTTTGGGAAAATGGCGCTGACAGACCTGCTTGGTGCCGTTTCCTCAAACCTTCAGTTGGTAACAAACACATTATGGGCGAAGTGCAATAAATGCCATCTTCTAGTGAGGCGTCCTGACCACCCTGCTCTAGACTGCACCTCGGCGCTTTTTCCCACGTCATTTTGCCCAGCCTTGCTTTATTTTTTTCTCCATAACATTCATCTCCTAATTTGCTATATATTTTAGTTATTTATACTTAATAGTTCTGTCTCCCTACCTGAAACACATCTCAAGAGGGCGACCATTTTGATATGTCAGATTCATTGCTGACCCGTGGTGCTTAGAACACTCCTGGCCCATGCGAGGTGCTCAGTAAATGCTGCTGACCTGGTGAACGAGATGCACGGCAGGCTATGGGGCCTGGGGGCTTTGCGCTCTCACAGAGGAGTCAGGGAAGGAGGGGTTGCCAGGCTGGTGAGGTGGTGAGTGAGGGCTTTCCAGGCACTAGAGACATCCCTCAGAGATGCTCAGAGTCTGCAAGACCACAGAGATGTGGAGGCCGGAGGGCGGGGGTACAGGTTGGGGTGAGACCTGAGGGGCCTTTGTCTGCTGTCTGGGGGGTTTGACTTTAGATTTGAAGACCAACTCTATAATCTTACTGAAGGAAGGATTTCAAAAGATAGGCTCAGTAAATATTTGTTAAACTGCGAAAGTAAACAAACCTTGAGTTCAGAATCTGATTTTAGGAAGTCATGTTAAGCTGGGTGCAGGGGCTCACGCCTCTGTAATCCCATCACTTCGGGAGGCCAAGGCAGAATTGCTTGAGCCCAGGAGTTTGAGACCAGCCTGGGCAACACAGGGAGACCCCATCTACCAAAAAAATTAGCCAGCTGTGGTGGAACGCACCTGTGGTCCCAGCTACTTGGGAGGCTGAGGTGGGAGGATCCCTTGAGCCCAGAAGGTCGAGGCTGCAGTGAGCTGTGATTGCACCACTGCGCTCCAGCCTTAGCGACAAAGGGACACCCTATTTCAAAAAAAAAAAAGGTTGGTCTGTGCTCTATAAGCAGTGAAATAAAGCAGTGATGTATGCTATTTCTGTCATTACTTTGAAAACAGTATTAGATGAATAGGGCATTTTAAAATGTTTTGTCTGTGCTAGATTCGCTGATGAGAGCTTTCTTTCAGACTGTTGTGTGGGATAATCTGCTTCTTTTCTGTAAGTAAAGGGATTTTATTTTAAAATGTTAAAATGTTATTATTTATGACATCTTTTCTTTATTTCTTAGAAAAATGTTTACTTACTCTTCCTTGTGGAAATTGATTAAGAATGCAGGCCGGCCTTCATGGCTCATGTGTGTAATCCCAGCACTTTAGGGGGCTGAGGAAGGAGGATTGTTTAAGACCAGGAGCTGGAAACCAGCCTGGTTGACATAGCAAGACCCCATCTCTACAAAAGAAAAATTTAAAAAATTAGCTGGATGTGTTGGATGCACCTGTAGTCTCAGCTACTTGGGAGACTGAGGCAGCAGGATTGCTTGAGCCTGGGAGGTGGAGGCTACAGGGAGTTAGGATTGCACCACTGTAGTCCCACCTGGGTGACAGAGTGAGACCTTGTCTCAAAAAAAAAAAAAAAAAACCAAAAAAACACACAAAAAAGACACTATTAGGCTAAATGTATATATTTCTGAGGTACAGAATTATTAGAGTAAGCACTGTTGCTTTACTTTGAGATGAGATGGAAAGAATACATTTATTGGTAATTTCACGTTTCTCTTTTTTTCTGCTTTTTCCTCACTCTGAAGGTGAAACAAGCATAGGTGATAAGAAACCAAAGCAAGTGACGCCTGTAAGCCACATTTAAGCCATCATAGTAGTTCTGGATAGTCACTTGAGTTGAAAAATAATAAGCTCAGACAACGTTTTAATCCTCATAAAAGACTAGTTAGAAAACCAGTTTTACTTTGATGCAAGCAAGCTAGCTAAAGTTAGAGAAGGGGTACTAAGAAAATAAGTGGGGACAGTCTCTTCTCTCCTGATCCCGCCCCTCAGCTGCTCGGGGGACGTCTCCTTGTGTTTAATCTCCCATCAAGACTCCTGCTGAATACATTTTAGGAATGAGAGGCAGACTCTCAACCATGTCATTTTCTCAGAGAAAATTGGATTGTGTGTTGGTAATAACAGTACCTGTCACACTGAGAAATGGTTTGTCGTAGGCATGGCTGAGAGGCTTCAAACCGACTTTGTTGTGGTTTGCTCTCTAATTTATTTCTTATGTTTTCAAGCACCAGGAAAGGGATGCTGACAGTGTGAGGGGCTGTGAAGCCTGCGAAGTTGGGTCTAGGGCTTTTTCCTTTTCCTTGTATAAAGTAACTTTTAGAATGGAAATAACCCTTCCATTAAAGTGTTTCCATTTCATCTGGGCGAGGGGGGAGGTATGCTTTTGTAGTTGAGTGTTAAGACAAGAAAGGTTTTCCTTGGTTTCAGTTACTGTAACACTTAATTTTTGATTTTCTGTTTGTCATGTGCAACATGGTGGTTGGTGGTAAGAATGGGTTCATTTCTTTTCCTCCAAAGGGACTAAGGATCTAGAACCAGAAATACCATTTGACCCAGCAATCCCATTACTGGGTATATACCCAAAGGACTATAAATCATTCTGCTATAAAGACACATGCACACGTATGTTTATTGCAGCACTGTTCATAATAGCAAAGACTTGGAACCAACCCAAATGCCTATCACTGATAGACTGGATAAACAAAATGTGGCACATATACACCATGGAATACTATGAAGCCATAAAAAAGGATGAGTTCATGTCCTTTGCAGGGACATGGATGAAGCTGGAAACCATCATTCTCAGCAAACTATCACAGGAACAGAAAACCAAACACTGCAGGTTCTCACTCGTAAGTGGGAGTTGAACAATGAGAAGACATGGACACAGGGAGGAGAACACCACACATCCGGGCCTGTTGGTGGGCCTGTTAGGGGAGGGAGAGCATTAGGAGAGATACCTAATGTAGATGACGGGTTGGTGGGTGCAGCAAACCACCGTGGCACGTGTATACCTGTGTAACAAACCTGCACGTTCTGCACATGTACCCCAGAACTTAAAGTATAATAATAATTTAAAAAGTAGTAATGCTTCCTCCATTTCCCACTGTGTCAGACGTGGAGGTTTTTACAGCCACTGACCACTTTTTGCTCTATTAGGAGATGGCAAGTCATTTGACGTTGATTGGCCCTCAAGGGCAGGGTTCCACCTCACTGCTTCAGAGTCTTTCTGTTTGTCCTGGGGAGACATGCTGTGTTGATGGTGTTGTGTTCTGCTGTGGAGGGGAGTCCACATTATAAGAGGGTTGTTGTTGGATTTTGAAGTATATCCAGAGGAGCATCCCCAGAACAGCAAGAGTTCCTGAAAAGATGACCTGTGAGAAATGGTTGAGGGAAGTAGCATTGTTTGACTTGCGACCTGGCAGGGAGCATGAGGCTGTCTTGGGACATGTGATGGGCAGCTAGACGGTGAGCAGTGCCAAGGAAAGAGAGAAACCAGGGCCAGGTGGGTACCAGATTTCAGCTCAGCACAGGGAGAGCTACTTTACAAATTGGTCTATACAAGGTGGGGTCCGAATTCTGTGTCACAGGAAGGGAGGCAGTGTGGACTGGTGGTTAGAGTGCTGTGCTGAGCACATGGGCTGCAGGGCGGGGGGGTGGCGCCCATGTGTGTTGAGTGCGTGGATCCTGCATGGTGGTGAGCATGAGGTCTGCAGGTGTGGATGCCACGTGACCGAGAGCTTCTAGACTGCCAGGTGTGTGTTCTGCCCTGCCTACTGCTTGTTCAGTTGTGTGACTTTGGCAGGTTACTTGATCTCACTGTGCCTCAGCGTCCTTCTCGGCAGAATGGGGATGGGAATAGTACCTGCTTTATCCCATTATTGGCAAGGTGAAAGGAGTTGGTGTGTGGAATTGCCTTCAGCTGTGTCAGGCAGCGCGTAAGCACTGTGATTGTATTCCATGAAATGACTTCAAGTGATATTCTGGAATCGCGCTCCACATCCAGGCCAGGGCAGCAGATTCCTCACCCGCTGCGGCCTCTAGCCGATTGACTTTTCTATTTTTAAAGTTCCCAGGGATTTTGCCTGGTTTCCTTTGCTTTTTTGCCCTGAGCAGCCGCTGCCTTTTGGGACTCCTGCACATCTCGGGTTAGCTGCAGAGTGGCACACCACTTCCCCAGTGGCCCTCTTTGCTGGTGTACAGGCACCTTTGGTTTTACTGCTCAGCGCTAACTAGGGCAGGGTTTCTTAGCCTTGGTGCTGTTGACATTTCCATTGTAGGATGTTTAGCAGCATCTCTGGCCTCTACCCACAAAGTGCCAGTAGCACCTTCCCACCCCCACCCAGTCCTGACAATCAAAATCATCTCCAGATGTTGCTTAATGTCCCCTGGAGGCACAATTGTCCCTGATTGAGAACCCGCGCACTAGGGAGAAACATTAGGAGGTTACCAGAGTCCAAGGACTTAATCAGAAATTGTCAGTTATTGTTTCTGGTTCTTGAGTTACTTGCTGGAGTCTTTTTTCCCTTACTGACCCCCTTTTATTCCAGAGGGTAGAGCAAGTGAAATGCTCCTCGTTCATTCCACGATGCCTGGGGAGGGCCCCTGCTTACCGAGCGCTGTGTGTAGTGGCGGCTTCAGGGAGGAGTGGACGGACCGGGTGTAGACCTGGCCCTGCTCCAGCCTCTGCATGGCCCAGGGCGGAGAGGGCCAAACAAGAGAACCCACTGTGCTTGTCGCCGTCCTGCCTTCCCTGGGCCGGTGCTGACGCCATTACCCTCTAATTTCCCCTCAGACCTGCGAGCGGCCTGGTGATGTCTTCACAGATGAGGGCGTGGGAGCCCACGGGTGGGGGGGTTTGCTGCTTGCTTCAGGCCCCAGCACCAGACAGCGGGGGGAGTGTGAGGCCTTTGGGCATCCCCACCTGGCTCCAGGGAGTAGGCTGGGGTCAGATTGTGAAGGGCTCCGAACGCCCTGTCAGGAAAACGGGGTTTCTACTGCTTTGTCTTCTTAAACGCTTGTCTTCTGCTGGGCTCTGCTCCGGCAGTTCCATAGAGCCTGTCACTTAACACTTGTATGTTCCTTTTAGACTGTATTCCACCCTCCACTCTCGCTCTGGCAGGTCCCCCTTGTCCCCTGAAACTTCTGCTGTCGGCGGCGGGGTGAGGGGAAAGAGTTGCAGCCGGGAGTCGGCCCCATGGGTGGTGCAGGACGGCTTAGGGCCGGGCGGTTCAGGGGCTGCTGAAGTACGAGCCAGCTCCCTCGACCTTGTCCTTGGGAGGCGCCGTCCGGGACAGCTCTGCTCTGGCCGGCCTCCCCCAGGACGTGCCCACACAGGGACCTTTCTAACCGCAGGCTGTAGTTCTTCTGTGGATAGAGATAAAGTTCAGTTCAGTAATTCTAGGCTGAAGCTCAACATGATGAAAATGAGAGCACTTTGCAGCATTAATGTAGAAACAGTATCTGGGCAGAGCTGGCGGGAGACATGTAGGACGGCAGCCTGCCTGGTGGCGCGTGTGCAAGAGACCTCACCAACTCTGCGTTCTTACAGATCCGGAACCCGCTGTGTGTGCCACATCCGTGTAGACAGTGGACGTGGGGATGTATCTGCTGGTAGTTGTCGTGTTCCGAAGCTCAGGCAGGAGCAAAACACGAGTTTTAAACCTGTTATTTGGCCTGGGGCACAGAAGCTCTCGCTTTCTCCCAGAGTCCTCTGTAAAGTGTGTCTGTGTGAAAGAGGACATTTGCCAGTGGGGAGGAGTTGGGCTGGAGGGTGGGGACAACAGGAGTGTATTCAGAGGGCGGAAGGAACAGGGTGGACCGTTACTTTGGGGAGGAGTGAGTAGAGATCAAGGGTTGTTCCTTCTTAAATAGTAAAGGGTTTGTTGAGTTTACTGGTTCACATGAGAATTTCTGAACACAAAGCAAGACGTGGAACTAGGGTGGGAGCTGGAGTTTGCTTTTAGGAAAGGCCTGGAAGTATAGTGCATATTGTTTTCCTGTTGTCCATAGCAACTATGGGGGATTCAATGTTAAAAATGTTAAAATAAAATTGGGTGACTTGGCTCAATCTTATGTCCTCACACAGTTACAGAACATTGAGAAATGAAGAGTTAGAGACTGTACACATTGGCCAAATGTACACCCTCTTTAGGGCATCTTTCTTCTCATTTAAGTCCCCGATGCCACCTTTTCAGCAAGGCCATTCCTGCCCTCTCAACTCAGAGTGGCCCCTTGCCATCACTTTGTCTTCTGTTGCTCTGTTTAAAAGGTTCAACTTTGAGATATAATTTATATAGAGTCAAATGAACCATTGTAAGTGTACGGTTTGAAAAGATGTGACAAGTTTACATACTTAACGTGATAATCACCACAGTTAAGGTACAGAAGGGAACCATCGCTGGCAGAAGTTCCTCAGCCCCTGCTCCAGGAAGGCACCCATCTGCTTCCTGTCACTGTAGATGGGATTTGATTTCCCGAAGTTTCATATACAGGAGTCCCTTCTTATCCGTGGGGCATGCGTCCCAAGACCCCCAGTGGATGGTTGAAACTGTAGATGGTACCACACCCTCTGTATATGATCTTTTTTTCCTGTACATACATACTTTTGATAAAGTTTATAAATTAGGCACAGTAAGAGACTAGCAGCAATAACTAATAATAATATGGATCAGTTATAACAGTGTGTTAGCATCACCACTCTCGTGCTGTGGGGCTATTATTAAATAAAGGGAAGGTCACCTGAACTCAAGCACTGTGATGCTGCAGTAGTCGGTCTGACCACTAAGGTGGCTACTGAGTGACTCAGGGCAGGTGGCGTATACGGTGTGGACATGCTGGACAAAGAGAAGAGACTCGTGCCCTAAGCGGGACAGAGTGGGACAGCTCGAGATTTCATCATACTTCTCAGAATGGTGTGCAGTTTAAAACCTACAAAGTGTTTATTTCTGGAATTTTCCATTTAATCTTTTCAGACTGTGGCTGACCACGGGTAACTGACACCGTGGAGCGTGAGCCGCAGATAATGGGGGGCTGCTGGAAATGGAGTGCTCCGCGTGTTCTCTGTTTCCGGCTTCCTTCACTCGGTGCTTTTGAGGTGTGCATGTCATTTGACGCTTCTTTCTGCTGGGAGCGCCTCAGCGAGCGACTGTGCCACAAGTCAGCCGTCCCCTGCTGGTGGACATTTGAGTTGTTTCCAGTCTTAGCTATTACAAAAAACCCTGCTATGAACATTGGAAATGTACTCAGTGTCTGCTGAATATGTTTTATTCTCCTTGGGAAGTACCCAGGAGTGCAGTTGCTGTGTTGTATGGTTAAGTTTTTCCAAAGTACTTACAGCATCTACCCTCCCACCAACAGTGTACAAGAGTTGCAGTTGTTCGTCTTAACCCAGACTTGGTGTGTGGTGGATTTAAGCTGTATGATCCTGATGACAAATATTGTTGACTGTCTTTTCCTGTACTTAGCGGTCATTTGTATATTTTCTTCTGTGAAATGTCCATTTGAATCTTTTGCCCATTTTTCATTGATTTGTTTATTGAGTGACAACTCAATAGTAAGAGTTCTTCAGATATCCTAGATACAAATTCTTTGTCAGATTTATGTGTTGCAGATTTTTTTTCTAGTCTGTGGCTTGTCTTTTCATTTTCTTAGTGGTGGTTTTTGAAGAACAGAAATGTATGGAACCCCATTTATAAACTTTTTTCTTTTATGGTTCATGCTTTTTTATGTGCTAGCTAAGAAATTTTTGCCTACCACAAAATTACGAAGTTTTTAAAAAATGGTTTTTCAAAGAAATTTTGTGCTTTTAGCCCTTACATTTAACTCAGTGATAAATTTTGAGTTAATTTGTGTATATGAAATGAGAAAGTAAATAAATGTTCATCCTCTCACTCCATGGATATCAATTATTCCCACATCATTTGTTGAAGAAGACTGTTATTTCCCTATTGAAGTATCCTGATGACTTTGTCTAAAATCATTTGACCACATATGCATAGCACTGTTTGTATGGTTATGTGAATAAAAGAAATGAATTTATATAATGCCTTTGAAGGAAATTCAAGATCATGTAATACTTCTCAAGTATTATAATAAACATTTATTTTCATACCCTACTGAATAATTTTTTAGTTAAAAAACCTATTACAGAGACATGACAAGTAATTGCACAGTCTTACCCTGCACTGGACTCTGGACTGGAGAGAAAAAAAATGCCTTAAAGAATATTAATAAATCAAGTAGCAAAATGGGAATAGGAACAGCAGATTAAAGTTCTGTATTAATGTTAAGTTTATGAAGTTGGCAGTTGTACTGTGGTAACGTAAAAGAACGTTCTCAGTTTTAGTAAATACACACTAAAGTATTTAGTAGTAAAGGGCCATGATGTATATAAGTTACTCTCAGATGCTCCCCGCTCCTAGATGTGTGTGCGTGTGGGAGGGGACAGAATAAATGCATGCAAACGATAAATAAAAACACTCTACCAGAAATGTTAACAGTAGGTAAATCTGAATAAAGAGTGTATCACTTTTGCTGAGCTTGAAATTCTTTCTAAATTAAAAAATTATTTATTTTTATGTTTTTGAGATGGAGTTGCCCAGGGTGGAGTGTAATGGTGCCATCTCGGCTCACTGCAACCTCCGCCTCCCGGGTTCAAGCGATTCTCCTGCCTCAGCCTCCTGAGTAGCTGGGATTACAGGTGTGTGCCACCATGCCCAGCTAATTTGTGTATTTTTAGTAGAGATGGGGTTTCACCATGTTGGCCAGGCTGGTCTCTAACTCCTGACCTCAGGTGATCCGCCTGCCTCGGCCTCCCAAAGTGCTGAGATTACAGGCATAAGCCATCATGCCAGACCTAAAAAACTTTTTTTTTTTAAATAAAATGTTTTTTTAAAAAAATCTATTACATTAATTTGTTGGCTTAATATTTGCCTTTTACATAAAAGTGGAATTTAAATGTATTAAATTAGCCATAATAGTGATTTAAAAAAACTAGGTTGTTAGGCTTACGTTTATTTGAAATAGAAATTTATCTGAAAACTAAATGGCCATTCTAGATGTAATGGTCACTTACCATTTCAAGAAAAAAAGTTTTATGATGATGTCTTCTGTTACAAATTCTTTCTTATTGTCTGAAATCCAGCTCTCAGTTTGGCTGGGTAAACTGGCCTTTTTGAAGTTTTCTGAGGATAAATTTTATCTCTCACTATCTTTTTGGTGACCTAGTTTGATTACAGTGGTAAAAATTATTACAGAGCCTTATGCACAAGAGCCCATGTATGTCTTAAGAAGGTGGAGTTACTGTTCAGTTCGGGTATCACTCCAAGGATTTAATGTGAGTCTGATTGTATTTGTTAAGTCCTCTTTTGTATTTGATCTATTTTCTACCACAGCAAAGTCAACAGAAAAAGCCTGTAATGCTACCAGATACAGATTATCTACTTCTAGGCCAGAAGTAAATCTGAGAGGATTTAGAGGAAATTAGTACAACCGGTGAGCTCTCATACAGTGGTCGACCTGGTTGGTGAGACCATCTTGTCCACTTGCCATGGCCAAGTGGGGTCCGTTGCTGTCTTATCCACCACCTGCAACTGTGAGTGTCTTAATCGACTCGGTTTAGGGACTTTTGTTTTCTTCAACTTGTCTTTGCTTTGAAGTTTTAATATACATTTATATACAGTATATGCTGGGTAATATACATTATAACCTGGACTCAGAGCACCCCTCAGTTAGTGTTTTCATTTTTTGCCCTTTTTCTGTCTCTCCTGTTCCACATTCTTCTCATTTGCTGCGTACTTTCTGAGCTCATGATGTTCCTTTCTGAGTTTTCTAACTTCTCCAGAAGCACCTTGATGGCACAGGCCATCCCAAATCTTGCCAGTATTCATGCAGTGTTGTCTTCAGGTTTTATTTGTTGCCTAGTTTTAAAGTTCACTGTCTGTGGCCACGCTGATGGTGCCCATGCACAGTGCTGACCGCAAGGAGCTCTATTCCGTGCTGAGCTGGACACTTGGAGCTCACATGACGTTTCACGGTGAGGAAGCAGGGATTCTGAATCGCAAAGGAGCAGCGCGAATGAGGGATGTTTGGCCCCCGCCTGTTGCTGGGTTGTGACCTCCCTTCACAGAATCTCTTGAGATGGATGCCACTCCTGAAGTGACTTGGCTCTGTTTTAGGGGCCTACTCGTGGGGTGGTGTGTGCAGCTCTCCCGGCGCTCAGGAAAAGTGGAGTACAGGGACGCCTGAGGGATGATCTGCCATCGGCCAGGGCCCTGCCTGCCTTAGCCCCCGCTGAGAGCTCAGCATAGTCATAGCTTCCACCTGCAGCTGTCTTCCTGAGTATTTGCTTAAGTGAAAATAAAGATTCAGCCATGAAATGATTTTTGTTTTATTTATTTATTTTTAGTGTAGGAAACAAATAGAATTGCTATTTAGAAGAAAAATCTGAAATGAATGCATTTAAAACATTCAAATGATTGAGAAAGTAGCTCTTAAGCTAATGATCATTTCTTTGCAGATATTCTGTCTTTTTCCCTCTGAAAGGCAAAGACTGTTTGTCCACGTTGTTCTTCGTTTTCAGTCTCATATTTCTAGGTATAGATTTCTTTTTATTTCTCCTGCATAGGATTCACTGGGATTTCTGAATCTGAAGATTGGCTTTTGAACAATCATAGACAATTCCCTTTCATAGTCTCTTCAAATAGTGTCTCTTTTCCACATCCTGTGTTGTCTCTTTCTGATACTTCAAAGGGATTAATTTGAGACTTCTTACTTAATCCTCTGTTTCTTTACCTGTCTTAAACTTGGTAGTTCTCTAAGCGGCAACATTGTACTTTCTCCAGATCTATTTTCCAGGCCAACAATTCTCTTAATAGCATCATGGCTAGAAAGAAGTATAGATAAAATAGAAAGATAGACAGAAACGATGATTAGATAGACAGACAGATGGATTCTTACAGGAAATATGAGGTCTCCAGATAAGAGAACAGTCTTTATTACTCACAGAACATCTTGGCCCCAGATCGCCACTGGACTATACATATGTTTCTGCTTTAAATTGTATAGGTGAATATATGGGGGACATATGTTCACCTGTACAATTTGTGGACTCCTGTGGCCATATTAAATTATCATCATTTCTTTAATGTGCTCATCTCTTCCGACTTCCTACTGTTTTCTCTAAATAGGAAGCCTCCATACCTCTCTTCATTTAGACAGAGTCTTCTAGTTCGTTACATCTCATCTTACTTCAAGTACCACACCCGCTAGGAAGTCTTCTTTGAACGTCTTTGCTGCTTTAGCAACCTGTACTTATCTCTCTCAAGGCATTCATCACACAGTTTTTTAATGAACAGATTATTGTTTGTCTCTTTTATTTCACTTTCAAGCCCTTGGGGGCGAGATATCTTTTTTATTCTTATTTCGCAATACCCATCTGAAATCCTGGTACATAGTAATTTTCAGTGTTTTCCTACTACTCTAATCAAATAATCATTGCTCTCCAGTTTTCCATTTATTATTATTTTGTAAGATTATATTAGAATCATAAAATGTTAGATGTAGATGGAAACCTAGGGGACATCTATTTTACATGATATAAAATTGCTATCAGTATTTTTTCTTTGTTTTAACGACTGACATCAGTTGGGAAACTCTTAGCCCTGCCTTATCTCACATCTCCTGGATCAGCATAAGTTTATGTGCCTAAAATCTCATTTCATGGGAGAAAGGAAAATGGGTATCTTGCAGCAAGAATGTAAGGGGAGGACAATGTCACTGGGTAAGCAAAACAGAGTTTGTAAATTTATCAGTACTTCTTCCCACCCAGAAAAGGCTCGGTTTAGAGAAAAAAAAAGTTACAGACATTTCTATTTTCAACATTTTCCCTAACATCCATTACTGAGTTCCACCAGCTATGTCTAAGTTGACAAGGCAGCAACTTCAGTTCATTTGTTCAAGTGTACTTTGATTTGCATAGTTTCATAACCTGTTAGCATCTGCTCATTGATAATTCTGAGCTTGTGCTTTCCTGACGATTTTTTACTGCAGAGGTGGAAAAGTACTAAACGGCAATTTGTTTCTTTAATTTTCCTGTGCAAACAAAGTCAGGGAACAAAGAAAGATGCATGGTGACTGCAAAATATCATTATTATTTTATCAACAATGATAATACAATACTCCATGAGTACAACTTCTTAGTAATAAATGCACATAAAAGCAAGATAGCCAGGAAGTGCAAAGGACAAATTCCCATAATGCTACATGAATTGTTTTGCATAGGGCCCACTGTAGCCTCCTGCTGCCTAATAGATAAATTGAAAATTTTGCAACTCTACATCTATCTCACCAGCTTTCAGACTGTGCACTAGCTATGCCAAATTGACTAATGTGGATCGAGACTAATTATAAACATAAGTAGAATTCCTAGTACACCTGTGCTAAGATTTCAGGAGCTAGTACTTCAGTATATGACATTAGGGGCCACTGTCAGCAATTTCTTTAGAAGGAAAATAAGATCTCACTGGGACTCTAAAGGTACAGTTTATTTATTTATTTATTTATTTATGAGATGGAGTCTTGCTCTGTTGCCCAGGCTGGAGTGTAATGGCGTGATCTCTGCTCACCGCAACCTCTGCCTCCCCGGTTCAAGCAATTCTGCTGCCTCAGCCTCCCAAGTAGCTGGGATTATAGGCATGTGCCACCACGCCCTGCTAATTTTTTGTGTTTTTAGTAGAGACGGGGTTTCACCATGTTGGCCAGGCTGATCTCCAACTCCTGATAAAGGTACAGTTTAAAAGGTACCTCTTTTGGAGTAATAAAAATGTATGGACTCAAATTTGTCAGAATGTTAAATGGGCAAAAGGTGGAGGATACTTTCTGAGGAAGAAACAGGCTAGAGAGTGCACAAGTAAATTTAATGCTTCAAGTAGAAAAAGAGTTAGAAAGAATACAAGGGAAAAATTACATCTGATTTCCTTTTCTGCTAACCGAAATTTAGCCTCTACTTCCATTATGCATCCAGGCAGCAGCCACAGTTGCATTAGCAATACCTGTGACGGTCTCACCAGCAGAAATTATGACTTTCAGTATTTTAATATCACATTCACAGTGGCTCCAAATATCTTGAAAAGTTTACTCTCAGCATGACTTTGAAATTATAATTGTTATTATATCCACCACATTAAATACAGAATCACAGAAGTTATTATATCAAATATTTGTTGCTTTTAAAGTTTTGCTTAAAAACTTCAATTTCTAGTACTACAGTTTCAATATAATTTATTGCCTTTGTCATCTCATGGCTTTCTCCTTCTTCTTCCTTTAGCATTTATAAACTTTATTTTGAGAAGTGTCTACAAAGTTTGTCAGACTGCAAAGAAGTCCATATCTCATAAAAGACCAAGCTTTAAAGGTGGAAGAAGAAAGGAAAAGTCAGGGTTCTGTTAATAAAGTTCTGTTTTGCTTCTAGCAAAAAAAGCATATGCTCCCTTATGAATACACTAATGGACAATTTAAAAATCAATGTCAGCGTAATGATGGTAAGCACAGCTTCCAAACAGCATCCCTTCTAGATTGCCAGAAGATGATCACGCAGACCCCGAAGCTTAGGGGGCAGCCAGAGGCCTGAACCCCCGTCCTAGGTTAATTCACCTTTTGCATGGTAACAATTGAACACCATTTACAAAGTAGGGAGAATTATTTTGATTGATATTAATTGAAACTTGCAAACAAGCACAAAAATTAAGTGAGCAACAAAAGGATTAGGAACTGAAACCTCCCTTTTACTAATCATTTCCCTTTCCCTCTACAAAACAAACAAAAAAAGATATGAAGGTAAAGAAACTATCTACTCCAATTACTTTAATTCATTTGGATGAACATTTTACTCTACGAATTTCTAGGGATTTGATTCTCTGATCTGGACATACTTGTAATCAAACAGAACATAAAATTGACCATTTTTGTGTGCTAATTTTGTGCTAGACACCCTGTTGAATAAATGAAAGAATATTATTAAGCATATACTACATGCCAGATACTTTCCTATACCAAAGATTGGCAAACTTTTTTCTGTACAGGGCCAGATAATAAATATTTTCGATTTTGCAGGCCACAAGGCAGCCTCTGTTGCAACTGAGGGCAGTACAAAAACAGTTATAGGCAATATATACACAATGGGTGATTGCATTCCAATACAACTTTATTTGCAAAAACAGGCACTGGAGCATATTTAGCCCACGGCCTGTAGTTTGCCAACTTCTGACCTAGATATTGCAGTACGGAACAAAAGGTCAAAAATTCCCTATTTTGTGGAGCTTACATGCCAGGAGAGGAAGATGAACCATGAGCAAAGTGAACATACTAATTCTATGGGGTATTTTAAGGTGCCCTGGTGAGGAATCCAGCAGGGACAAGGCAGGAGGGTCATGGGGGAGCTCACAACCTTTGCTATGGTGACAGGTGGGGCACCTTTGAGAAGCAAATATTTTATACAATTTTTGGCAGAAATGAGCAAGCAAGCCATGGGCAAGAGTATTCCAGCTGCTTAGATCATTATAATGACCATCTAGGATAAAAAATATTATTTCTCTCTGACAGGAGAAAATGGAGACTCATTTCCTTGTCAAAATTCTAATGGCTAAGCTCATCCAGACCATGAAATCGGTAATTCTGGGAGCAGGTTAAAGGCCTTGCTGTTTTTTCTTTCTAAAGCTCTCTAGGTTATTTTAACATGCAGCCATGGTTGACAGTCTTCACTAGGTCATGCTGACTTTTAACTTATTCAATTTATTTTAAAGAAAACAAGCTAACAGAAAAATACTTTGATAGGCAAAAATTAAGTTCATAGGGTCAGATATTCGTTTTTGATTTTTATTATTTTAGATCTAGTCCTGAATTCAGATTTCTTTCTTTCTTTCTCTGTCTTTCTTTCTTTCTTTCCTTTCTTTCCTCTCTTTTTCTTTCTTTCTTTCTTTTTCTTTCTTTCTTTCTTTTTCTTTCTTCTTTCTCTTTCTTTTCTTTCTGTCTTTTCTTTCTTTCTTTTTGTATGTGTCAGACATTCTATAGCTTCTGAGATTCTCATTGTGTTTGTGAAGATATTCTGAAAAGAAGACAGTAAAGGACTTATTAGGGAAAATTAAAGTAGGATCTGGGGAAGGCTGGAGAGACCACAATACAGGAGGGTGAGAGAATTAATATGACCCTGAGGCAAAATGTAAGTGAATATTTTTGCCCCTTCCAAGTGAATATGAATTATTTCTAATCATCTTTGCTAATTAGAATGGGAAAAACACATTTATCAAATCAATGGTTGCCTGCAATAGACATGAGGCCATATTTGTCTGCTCCAGCAACTATACCATATCTGTCTGCAAACACAGCTATTATTTATTCATCTGTGCTCATCAATAGTCTTTTTCCAGGATCTGTCCAGCTTTTGCAGGAGCCAAATTGATGAGTTAAATGGAGACATAACAGGGATCACCCTTGCTGTATTCTTATGTTGGATCTTTAATGGTGGCACAAGTCTTTTCTGTCTCTCCCAGGATACAATATTGTTTTTTACTTACTATTTTGGCAGAGGGGTGAGAGGGAATTTCAGAGGTTTCCACTTGGCCTTTCTCCATGATGACAGTTTTTTTCTCACATTGCAGAAACCCAATAAGGGGGTTACTACAATTACTAAGGACGTCAGTTCCAATTATGTACTTGGAGATTGTAGAAATGACCTTTGAGTAGATTCATGGACCTAGCAGACCACTGAAAGGTGGACTTTAGCCACAATTTCTAATTTGGCCTAACTCTCATAGCCCTCTGTGCTCCAAAGCTGGGCTATGATGGATCTTTGGATTTTTATTCGGGTCAATCAATGTCAATTCGGGCCCTTTATTAAGTAGTCTTTGAAATGGCTTGTTATTCTTTTTTCCTCAGTATAAAGAAGCCTAAGTAAATGGCTACAGGTCCCTTTGAGGAAGATTGAGGGCGTTTTCACAGCATATGCCATGGTATGGTAGGGTCTTTCTTCCTAGGAATAATGCCAGTGGATTCTGAATTTGAAAATTTGGCTGAGGTCTGGCAACTGAGCAGGAACTTGGACTTGTTAACAGTGTGACTGTGCTTGACTTTCTGATACTCCGTTCTAACTTTTTTTCCTAGTTATAGATGTTAAGCAGCATTCTTCTTGGCTGCCTATTCATTTACCCACTACAGACACTCTATTAACCATCTCCTCAAGTCCCTGTGGGCCACACCCCCTTGGTCGCACCTCTAACCTCCTGGCATCTAGCGGTGAAGCCCCAGAACCTGGCTTCTCCTGGCATGGAGCTCCATCATCTTCATGATGTTGTTGAGTGGACTCCTTTGACTGCCTCTCCAACCACCAGAAGAGCCACCACCAAACTTATTATTGATGATGGTGCCCCTCTCCCAGCACATTCTTTATGGTCTTAGTGAAGAGTGAGCTTTCTGCTCCTTCTCTTGGACTATGACCTTCTCTTGGGTCTTTTGGTCTGACATAATATACAATCTCTGCTTCCTTCAGCATATCCTCTGGCTTCTGACAGGGCAATTTGGGCATTTCCATTCTGCTGAGTATTGGGCATTGCTGTTTTCAAGTTTCTAAGGGCTGCTCTAGGAACATGGTTGCACCATTTCTAATCCCAGGAGTGCTCCTCTGGTTCCTGCTCATACAAAACAGCTAATTCATTCAACTCTTTGGGTGTATAGAGTCCCTCCTCCCTGATCAGGGCCAGCATGTTCCAAACTGGGCTATATTAGCATTTCCTTCTTGGTATTGGCCTGGCAGGAAAGGAGACATGTCTGTCCAGACATATGTCCTTGTACCACGGTCTCTGGTCTCAGTCCTTTTCTCACCTGAGCAGTGACCTCAGCCATGCATTCATATGTCCCTGGAGCTCTGCAGTTCTAAAAATTAGGTCTTCCTAATTGTCTGAGCTATGTCATTCCCTTCCACTGTAGGAGATATGAGCCTCCTTGTAAACTAGCACAGAGGCCCTCTGGCTTCCAGCCTTACCCATTAACGACTCAACAGCCCTCAGTCTCATTATCCTTCTGCAAGGTCTTTTTTTAATGCTATAATTTTTCCTCAAAGTCCTGCTTTAGCTACCTCATAATTTTGATATGTTACATACTCATTTTGTTTTAGTACAAACTATGTTTTGATTTTTCTGAGTATTCCCAGTTTTCTCCATAAGTATTTAGAATTACTTTAATTTCCAAATATTCAGGGACAATCATATCATTTTTGTTAGTTATTTGTAGTTAATTTCATTGCAATTCAAGAATATACTCCATATGGTTTGAGTTTATTAAGGTTTTTAATATATTAGGATATAATTATTCTTATTAAATGAACCATGTTTACTTGAGAAGCCTGTGTATTTTGCTGTTTTGGGGTGGAATGTTCTCTACATGTCAGTTAAGCCAACTAATTTTGTTTTTGCTTTCTGCTCCCACATCACATGTGTTTATTTTTTTTTTTACAACTTTCATTTTAGGTTTGGGGGTACATGCACAGTTTTGTTCATGTATAAATTATGTGTCACTAGGGTTTGGTGTACAAATGATTTTGTCACGCGGGTAGTGAGCATAGTAGACAACAGGTAGTTTTTGGACCTTCATCCTACTCCCACCCTACCTCCTCAAGTAGGCTTCTGTGTCTATTGGTCCCATCTTTGTGTCCACACGTACTCAGGGTTTCACACCCACTTATAAGTGACAATAAACGGTATTTGGTTTTCTGTTCCTGTGTTAACATCTGACATCAGTTCTCACATCAGTTAGAATGGCTATTATAAGAAAGTCAAAAAACAACAGATATTGGCGAGGTTGCAGAGAAAGGGAATGCTTATACACTGTTGATGGGAATGTAAGTTAGTTCAGCTGCTGTGGAAAGCAGTTTGGAGATTTCTCAAAGAACTTAAAACAGAACTACCATTCGGCCCAGCAGTCCCATTACTGGGTGTATACCCAAAGGAATATAAATTGTTCTACCAGGAAGACACAGGTACCTATATGTTCATTGCAGAACTATTCACAATAGTAAAGACATGGACTCAACCTAGATGTCCATCCATGGAGGACTGGATAAACAAAATGTGGTACGTACACTCCATGGAATACTACACTGTCATAAAAAATGAAATCATGTCCTTTGCAGCCACATGGATGCAGCTTCTGTAGGGTCTTAAAACAACTTAGTGATAACCAATTGACTCTCATGTATCTCTACATTGTTTCCCTGTTTTGTATTTCTCTAGAGGTGGGAAGAAAGGAACACATGATTGTTGTTACTTGGAGAAACCACTTAAATTTCTATTTCAAAGCATGTGTCCATTTTTGAGTGAGTTCCTAAAAATATTATTTTCCCAGTCAAATAGAATTTGTAATAGCCCAAGATATACAAGCTTTAGAGAACCTGCAATATTTCTTAATCAATGAGTAAACTTCAGATATACACACTCATGTACACATATGCACCCTTGGTAAGAAAGGACGGAGCTGTGTCTTGGGGTAAATTATACTATAAGGTGAAAATACTTCTCTCTTGCTGTTGGCAAACGATCATTCCAAAGACATGCCACTGCAAATGGTTTCTCCTGCTAGTTACTAGCAAGAGTCTGCATATGTAGAGCCATCTCTTCACTGTTCATTTTTTAAAGGGCACTGGGCTCCCTGGGCAACCTGCTCCCTTGCAGTGAACTTGACTCTGTACTCTGAAGGGAGTGGGTAGGTGATCCAAGACTGACAGTTTATATTCATCTGACTAGGTAAGTGTATTGAGTCCAGGTATACACAGCAGTCCCCACAGAGGGCACCTAAGGTCTAGATTTCAGGAAGACATATGGGAGCCTACTAGCGTTCAAGTCAAAACCCTACTAAATCTAAAGAAATGATGTAGTTCAGATATGCTGGGCATCTGCCTAGTCTGTTAACAGGCTGATCCATTTATCCTGCTCCATAAGAGAAAAACTCGAAAGCAAAAAAAAAAAAAAAAAAAAAAAAATCCCCTACAAAACTTTTGGCAGATTTCTGATTGCCCTAGGAAGCATCTTCGCCCCAGCAAGGAGCATTTCCTTCCATTGAACACGCAATCTACAGGGAATTAGGACATGTTCTTACGCTGTGACTTTTGGAGCATTTTATTTTCTTTTTTCTAGTTCAAAATTTTCCTGGAAAATAATGAAGTGAACTCAGACACCACAGGCTCTATAATTATGAGATTTTTGTGGAAAATCCTGGGGACAATTTGGCTTAATGCATATTTATTTAAATGTCATAAAAGTCAACTCATCAAAGTTGTAGGGCCACTTTCAAACTTGATGCCATATTCGAGGAAGACAGGAAATGTAGCAGAGTAAGCCTATGTCCTCTGGAAATTGGTTTTGTTACCTGAATGTCAGGGGTTCAGTCTAGGTCCTGTTGCTTGCTGCACCGAAAGCCAGTCATTGATATAACGAGCACTGCCATGGAAGACAGCTTTAATTGGGTGCTGTAGGAGAGCAGATGGCAGATCAGTCTTAAATCCACCTGCCTGAGCAACTGAAATGATGGGTGTATGTAGTGAGGAAGAAATGTAACCAAGTGTGGGAAAGCAGGAATAAGGGAGGGGTAAAGAAGAAGAACTGGTCAACAGGAAGCAGGTTTAGGTAATCAACACAGGTGATGAGTCTGGTGTCTCATGGTCCAGATGCCATGATCTGGTAAGTTTCGCTCTTTGATACTGTCTGGGAGGCCTGATCCTTTATTTTCTGAGAAAGGAACTCAGATAATACAAATGTAACATGTTTAAGTTTTAAGACTGGGAAGGTCAATTTTTATGTTTATTTAAAAGAAACAATAAACATCAGTTCTATAGGACAATTGGGAGGCTTTTTTATATCTCAAAGAACTACAAACATTATGATAAGCAATTTATACTTGATTCTGCCATGTGTCTACCTTTCTTATTATAATATAGGATCAGGGTTCCAATGTTGAAATGGACAAAAGCCATCATTCCAAACACCCCACTGGTTCTCCAAGCCATGCCCAAGCACATCACTCTCATCAATATGGGGTATCTCTAAAGAGGGGTAAATCATTTCTCTCTCTCTAGCACTCAGCACCCAACATGTATACTCAAGTTTGCAGGTGGGTACAGGAAAGGACAGTTCTTCATCACAAAACACTAGTTACCCTTGGCTTCACTATGACACATTTAAGTGGAGAACATTAGGGAATAGTCAAAGGTGTGTTGAAATTAATTCTCAAGTTTTCAAGCTCAGACTGCTAGGTACCCTACTGACTGAGTCTATACCCAATGATACCAGTGAAAATGCTGGGGGAAAAAAAAAAACACGAAAAAAAACTGTACTTAGCAACCCTGCAACAGCAAGTCAGGGTACATTATACTGTAACTTCTTCCATCTGGCAGATGTATGCTTCATTACATCTGCACAGTTAGAGGGGATCGCATGGCATATTGTTTCAATTATTATCAATAGCCAATACCGATGGGCCGCTTGCCACTAAAAAGGATCAACATGTAATTTAGAAAAACGGCATAAACTATAAGTACAAATTGTACTATTTATTACTATCCCATTATTAATTTGTACTTCTGGATATTATGATTGGTATTTGGTAATTTCCAGCTACTTGGAAATAAGAACATCCTCTGAGAGCTAAACAATAAAATCAATCCACAAAAAACCAAAGACGCATGATGCAATGTCACCAGGGAGAGAAAAGGGATCTCAGGTTACAGCAAAACTTTACTACAATCAGATTAAAGGTATTAATTTAGTTAAAGAAGTCAGGATGCTAGAGCTCTGCATGGATCACAGAAAAAAATATTAAAATCGGGTAAAAACAAAAACCCCAAACAGCTTCAGTGGACATCAGGAGACTTGAGGGCCATTTGCACCTGAGACTGGAAAGCTATGCAGACTTAGGCAACTTGAAATTAAATTCTAGAGGATAAAGAGGTGTAAGATAATTTGCTCTGTCCCTGAAAAATGGCAGCCTTTATATATTTCAGAACCAGCCAGAGGACATTACCCATGCATGACTTTATCTTCTTGTGTAGACTCCAAGGGTGCTGTTGGGCCCGCTCTGCCACCATCTTTACACGGCGTGGGCAGAGGCACATCCACCACCCTCTGCTGGTCTTCAAGTACACGTCATTCAGCAGCGTGATATCCTGTAAGCAGCCAGTATACGTAAAAACAGCCCAGCCATGGGGCAGCTCTCTCATCCACAACCTGCAGAAAAGAGTCAAGAAGGGCTTACCGCTGCAGAATCTGCAGAGTTGTCATCTGCTTAAAGTTTGCTCTTATATAAATATCATCCACAATTGAGATAGCTGTTGGGCCCAGATATCACACAATATATCATATTAATAAAAACAATAAACACACAGGCATTATTTTACCTTAACGCCATTGAAAAGCAATTTAATTCGAGGATACATCCTATTCCCAGTATGTTATTTTTAATACAATTAGATGGTCAGAGAAGTTTTAATAGAAAGGTACTTCAAATAAAATATTAGTTCTGAAGATACTGGATATTGTTTTATGCAAAGCTTTTAAATCACAATAAAATAGTTATGACACAGCAATAACTTAGCAGTCTTTTCCCATTAGCTGTAAATTGCATCATATTACTCTAAAATGTTTCATATAGTATAAATCTACTCTTTATTTACTTTCCGTAATGTCTCTGGTATGCTTAGTATCATGTATTCTTCCTGAAATAAACAGCCCTTTCTCTGACCTGCCCTAATGCTTACCATTTTCAGCCTCTGCATCCTCCAAGCAGCCCCTTCATTAGACCACTTTAGTCTTTAGAGTATGGACAGGCCAGTAAGCTCCTGTAGCCCTTATTAGTTACAATATGATGTTCCTTATAAATTTGTTTGCAATGTATGCTGCATTAAATTGCACATTTTGGAGCCAGGGCAATGAATACTTTATATGTCCATGTTCTCCAAAGAACTTAAGAAAATGCTGATGAAAGTAAGAACTTCAGAAATACATGTTGATTAAGTCACCCATAGGAATTTTGGAGAATTAGTGTATGTATTTTCTTTCATTGCACACACACACACACACACATGCACACACACACACACACACACAGACACATACACAAACACACACGGAGGGATTAAAATTTTAAACCAAATTGAAATGTCGAAGTTAAAGCGCTTAAAAAGAGGTGGTGTCAATTCTCATTATTCATGGTAGCTGTGTTCTATGAAGTTGCTGGGAACAGAGCAAACGCTGGACTATGGTTTCTATGGAAAACACAGGGTTAGGTTTCTTAGAGCCTATGGTCATAGAAATTATAACCTTGCTTTATATTTATTTCTATTTTTAAAAATTAATATATATTGTTGATTCAAGTGATAATTGCTTCTCACTTATATGGAGAAAAGTCAGAAAAAGGATAATAAACAAAAACCTAATGGCTTTTATATCTTAGTAATATTGAGTATACACAGTAATTTTCTGTGTATGGAAGAAATTATTCCTCTAAGCTAGTGCTAATAAAATGATTCATTTGGAATTAATACAATCCTAAATCTAATTTAGCCTATACTTAAGAAAATGTACATTCTATTATCAATACATTCCCTATACCTATTTTCCTTATTATTTTAAAACTTGTCAGACACAAACCATCATCAATCTTTAGGTTTTTAGGCTTTTAATATCTAATATAGTATTGAATTCCTTGTGATATAGAGAAAATCTATAGCAACCATGTTTTAAAAGGGTTGAATATTGTTATAATTCTATAAAATGGGTAAAAGCATTTTTATTAAATTAAAAAAATCTTACTCTCTTTCAAATTTGATTTATCTCAAAATTAGCCTGTCTTCATTTTTTCCTAAAATAGGAAAAAAACGCAGTTAATTTTAGTTTTAAAGACATCATAAGTTTAAGAATAACTTATGAAAAATAACAACCAATAAAGTAATCAGAATTTAGTGTTGAACACGAGTAAGATATTGAGAATTAAATTTGGCAGGAGAGTTAGGGACAATAAACGACCATTGAATTAGAAATGAGAATATTTCCACTGTTGCTCTAGATCTGATGCTGATCTGGTCATGGTGGACAGGTCACACGTGTCACTGTTCATTCAGTAAATATTATCAAGTGACTACTATATGCCAGGTGCTATAGGGAGAATTGGGGTACACCAGCAAAAAATAGAGAGGCCCCTCATTCTTGTTTGCTGATGTTATAGATATTCCGTCCATATTTACATTTGTATGGTTCCATGAATAAAGTTGACACCTGCTCCCTAGGTGACCGCATCCAATCCCATCCTTTTAAGCACTCTCCACATAGTAACTACATCCAATTTTTTATCCCAAGTCTGTAGCTCTCTTCCGAAATCTAGGTTTACATATCCAGCTGCTTGGATGCTTAATCGGCATCTCAACCCTAGCCAGACTTCTGATCTTCCACCCCACTTGCTCTCCCGCAGTCTTCTTCACCTCAATTAGTGGCCACTGAAGCCAAACTTCCGGGAGCCATCCTAAAGATCCCTCTTTTCCACCATCAAGATTTCCTTTGGCTCTGTATTGAAACTACCATCCCCCAGAACCCACTGGCTTCTCCCCTCCACTCGCAATGGCCTTGTCTGGATTCCTGAAATAGCCTCCTAATCCGTCGTACTGCACCTGCCCTTAACCCTCACACTGAAATCTCAACACAGTAGCTAAGGTGATATTTTAAAAATTCAAGTCGGCCGGGCGCAGTGGCTCAAGCCTGTAATCCCAGCACTTTGGGAGGCCGAGGCGGGCGGATCACGAGGTCAGGAGGTCAAGACCATCCTGGCTAACACGGTGAAACCCCGTCTCTAGTAAAAATACAAAAAATTAGCCGGGTGTAGTGGCGGGCGCCTGTGGTCCCAGCTACTCGGGAGGCTGAGGCAGGAGAGTGGCGTGAACCCGGGAGGCAGAGCTTGCAGTGAGCCGAGATCGCGCCACTGCACTCCAGCCTGGGCGACAGAGCGAGACTCCGTCTCAAAAAAAAAAAAAAAAAAAGTCAGATTCTGTCATTTCTTGCTCATTTATTCTAATAACTAAATACCTACATTTAGAAAAACATCCAATCACTTTACAGTGGCCTCAATGTAACCAACAGCCCCACATAATCTACCCCATTTCCTCTGCGAAGCTCCAGCCACCCCTCATCCGCTCCAGGGCAGCCCTGCAGCTCCCTGGCCCCATTGCACATGCGACATGCAGAGCACTGCGAGTTCGGTGTCAATGGATCCACCATGTACCCTAACCCATCACAGTCCCCGGAAGTGAGGCCTTATCACGTGGAGTAAAGTGGAGGATCACCCTTCCTTTAGGTGTCTTTCCACTTCCCATCTTTTAAATATCCATGTCTCAGGTATTTCTTCTACATGCATTGAGCATCCCATCAGATGGCATAGTAACTTTTGCTTCAAACATCAAATATCGCTTTTAAAAACTCATGAGGTATGGCCAGGCACAGTGGCTCACACCTGTAATCCCAGCACAATGGGAGGCCGAGGCAGGCGGATCACCTGAGGTCAGGAGTTCGAGACGAGCCTGGCCAACATGGCGAAACCCCATCTCTACTAAAAACACAGAAAATTAGCTGGGTGTTGTGTCCGGCGCCTGTAATCCCAGCTACTTGGGAGGCTGAGACAGGAGAATGGCTTGAACCCAGGAGCCACAGGTTGCAGTGAGCCCAGATCGTGCCACTGCACTCCAGCCTGGGTGACAGAATGAGACTCCATCTCAAAAACAATAATAATAAAATAAATAAAAAACAAAAATAAAAAAATGCTTCCGTCAGCCCTTCTGTAAGGGTAGGTTTGTTATGCAACAAATTTCTCCTGTTTTCTTTTGTCTAGAAAACCTCTTTATTTCCCTTTCATTCTGGAAGGATAATTTCTGTGGGTATAGAAGTGGCAGGTGACTATTATTTTCTTTCAGCACTTGGAAAAGCACTTCATTCATTTCTGGTCTCCATGGTTTCAGATGAAAAATCTGCTACCATTTGAATTGGTGTTCTCCTTTAAGCAACATTTCATTTCTCCCTGGCTGCTTTAAACATTTTTCTGTTTTATCTTGGACTCCAAGTATACAAATGTGAGCTCTTTTGTTATTGACCCATGAGACTCTGCTGCCCTATAACTGTTTTCTCTGTTTTTCAGATGGAACAAATTCCACTGAGCTATCCTCAAGGTCACGGATTCCATCCTCTGTCACCTCCATTTCATTGAGATGATATATTGAGCCCATGCGTAGCCTTTTATTTGAGGTATTCTCATGATTTTCATTTTTAATTCTAGGCTCTACTTTTGCTGAAATTTTCTATTTTTTTCATTTGTTTCAAGAGAACCCATAATTGCTTATTGAAGCATTTTTATGACAATTATTCTAAAATTCTTTGCAGGTAATCCCAGCACCTGAGTCATCTTTATGTTGGAGTCTCAATCGACTCTTCATTCATTTGTGATTTTTCTGGTTCTTGCTATGATAAGTGGTTTTTTATTGTATTCTGGACATTTTGATAAGATTGTGAATCCTATTTACTTTTTTTTTTTTTGAGACGGAGTCTAGCTCTATCTCCAGGCTGGAGTGCAGTGGTGCGATCTCAGCTCACTGCAACCTCTGCCTCCTGGGTTCAATCGATTCTCCTGCCACAGCCTCCTGAGTAGCTGGGATTGCAAACATGCGCCACCACACCCAGCTCATTTTTGTATTTTTAGTAGAGATGGGGTTTCACCATGTTGGCCAGGATGTTCTCGATCTCCTGATCTCGTGATCTGCCCACCTCGGCCTCCCAAAGTGTTGGGATTACAGGTGCGAGCCACCGCACCCGGCCTACTCTTTTTTTTTTTTAATAGCCAGCTTCTCTGTTGAGATGTAGCACCAGGGCTGTGTATCTGTTCAGTCTCCTTTGGGCCCAGGGCCAGTACGGGAGGGAAGGGAGAGCAGAACGCGGACCACTCTACCTTGAGTTGCCTCATTCTGTATCATCGATGCCTGGTGGAAGTGGGCTTACTCTGCATCCTGCTGACACCGCAGAGAAACTGGAGCCCATGGCCTGCTTCCCTGGGACAGGAGCTAGGGTGGAAAATCAGCTTCCAGCTTGGCCCTGCTGAAACCCTGGCAGGGGCAGGTTCCATTGTAGTTTGGCTGGAATCGAGCAGGTATTGCCAACAGCATCGTCTATTGTTGGAGTACCTTTGCCCCAGATCCTGAGATGGGGTAATTTTTAAAGAAAAGAGGTTCAATTGGCTCACAAGCCTGAAGGCTGTACCAGCATGGTGCCCAGCTTCTGGGGAGGGCTCAGGGAGCTTTGACTCACAGAGGAAGGTGAAGTGGGAGCAGGCACTTCACATGGCAAAAGCAAGAACAAAAGAGTGGGAGGCAGTTGCCACACACTTCTACATGACCAGATCTCTTGTGAACTCAGAGCTCACTCATCACCCAAGAGATGGCCCACGCCATCCATGAGGAATGCACTCCCATGATATAAACACCCCCACCAGGCCCCGCCTCCAAGAGTGGAGATTACAGTTCAACACGAGATTTGGTGGGGGCATATCAAAACTACATTAACCTTAAATTATGAAGACGGTAAACTAAATAATCTGCTTTCTTTCCTTTCCTGTTTTGTGTCTGTTTTTCAGATTTCCAAGGCCAGCAATGTTCTCTTCCTCTCCCTTTTCTTTGTATAAAAATTCATTCTCAAGAAAAACTCTCATATCAATTGTTTACATGTCACTATGGCTAAGACACTAAAAGCCCTCTCCCTGCAAAACTGGTGGCAAAGCTCTCTAGAGAACCACAAACTGTTGCATCCTTACTACGTGGGGCAGCAGCAAGCCCAGGTGAAGATGTGCATGTTCTTGGAGAAAGTATTAATAACATACCGACACTTACATCTGGGTGAATAATTTCATCAAATCTCTTAACTCACGCTTGCACAAACTTCACCTGGAGAGAGAGAGGGAAAGCTGTGCCAGAAATAAATGGTTATTGAGGTCACTGTTTGTTTGTTTTTCTCAGGAGTGGAAGGAGATTAACCAGGGTGGCAATAAACAAAATTACTTGCTGTTTTAAAACTTAATGACAACCCTATAGGTTATTAGCAATGCCAAAGTTGCAGGGTGCGGTGGCTCACGCCTGTAATCCCAGCACTTTGGGAGGCCGAGGCGGGCAGATCATCTGAGGTCGGGAGTTCGAGACCAGCCTGACCAACATGGAGAAACCCCGTCTTTACTAAAAATACAAAAAAAATTAACCGGGTGTGGTGGTGCATACCTGTAACCCCAGCTACTCAAGAAGTGGAGGCGGGAGAATTGCTTGAACACAGGAGGCGGAGGTTGCGATGAGCCGAGATCACGCCATTGTACTCCAGCCTGGGCAGCAAGAGTGAAACTCAGTCTCAAAAAATACAAAACAAAACAAAACAAAAAGCCAAAGTGGAAAAGCAAAAATTTTGTGGTATTTGCATTCAATTATTATGCTTTAATTCAACCATTCACAATTTCTAGGGAACATTAACTTTATTGCAATCCCAGGTAAATTTAGGATAATTTAACAATAATCGTTGGTGTTCTACTCATCTACTTGTCTTTAAAATCCACATATATTTTTTAAAAGATGACATCCTTTAAAAATATTATATTCAGTGAATTTTCAATATTATTTTAAATATTATCATGGACAGTTGTTATTGGAAATGACAGTTCACCATTGCAAATCAATGCAGTGGCTACAAGTCCCCCGTGTCACACAAAAATAGACGGGGTAGCTCTGACAGCATGCATCCTTATGCCCTGTTCTATTAATGATGCACTGCACCCCATCAGGGTCTGCAGCTGTATCATTACTCACAGAGACGGTTCTGCCTTTGGCTTTCCCTGGTCCTCCATGGCTAGGAACATCATTTAACAGGGTTTTGTAGAATTCACTGGGTGGTTAGTCTTAGAAAACCCAAGGCAGAAACACACAGCCAACTATCCCCCAAGTGCTTGTGCTTGAACTTTCAGAACATAAGAAAATTGTGTTAAGCTGGATCTGCAAGTACAAATGGAGAGTGAAATGGGTTCTATAGAATCCAAATGACACAATCTTTCCTCCTGCTAAGAATTACTGGCTATTGAACCAATTCCTGCCTATTAACTGTGAGGTGAAGTCCAAGATCCACAGTCAAGCATTCAAAGATCCAACCTGATTTTTCTCTGCATAACTGTTTTACTAGGAGTAAGACTGACTTGCCTGGTTTACCAAGACAGGCTGTGAGAATTCTTCCCACTTACCTTTACTGAGTCAATGTGGACAGTTTGAAATAACTTGAACCATTCTTCTTACATTTTTAAATCCTACACAAGCCTCAAAACAAAATCCAAGTCACTTTTCCTCTGTGGGATCTTCACTGAGCCCCCCAGCAGGCATTCCTCTTGCTATCTCCTGTGCGAATAGCTCTGAAGGTCTGTATTGCAAATATGACAGTCAACACACCGGCTAAGGTAGAACAAAAAGTGGCATTATTAAGCTGAAAAAAGCCCGGACCAAAATGAAAGATTCTTATTGTGGGAGCAATTGCTCACACTCACCAATAGCTGCTTGTTTCCTTCTTGGGCACACAGAAATTACAATTCCCAACTTTCCTGCAGTTGGATAGAGCCATGTGAGTAATTCCAGCCTGGGGACTCTGACTAGAGATGAAAATCCCCTCCATGGTGGAGCAAAATCCCCTGAGTGGCCCTCCGGCCTTCTGTTCTCCAGCTGTGCTAACCTGGAAGCCACACATTGAGATGACAGAGCAGCAAAGTGGAGACAGGCCATGTCTCTGAGTCACCATGTGACCCACAGGAGATTTTGAGTAAATTAAAATACAAATCTTTGTCATAATAAACCACAGATATTTCAGCAATGATTTGCAACCATAGCGTAAGATAACCTATCATGGCTAATGCTCCTAGGTTCTCAACCTGTATCCACCAGTAACTAGGTAGCTTGGGCAAATTATCTTCTATGCAACCTCTGGTTGATAATGAATTCCTTTTATAAGTAAGAGAATGAGCTGGAACCCAAATGTGTACAGAGGAAATCTGAATGAAGTGGGAAGGGTAAGATGCAGAGTGAGTGGAGACTTCACTCATTGTTGAAAGAGGGCAGTTGCTACTCGGTTATTACTGATGCTTACATGAAGAAATCCAGTTTTAATATAACCACATCTTGCCATTTCTCAAGGGAAGTCATGTACTATCTGTGTGTCTGTCCTTCATATAGCTCCATCAATATTCTCCTCTTAAATCTTGGAGACTGTGCTGGATGTTTTCCAAATGTCTCTCCTGATCCAGCCTGCAGTCTTCTCTACCCTGGTTTGGGTATCTGGAGCCAGACCTGTATGTACTGCATCAGCAGGTTCTCTTCCCTTCGCTTTCTGCATGGTTTCCACCACCATGAGGTCCTGGTGGGAGATCAGAGGCTGGGAAGAGCAGAGGCTGGGAAGAGCAGAGGCAGGAGAGGCACTGCATAACTCCTCTCAGGCCGTCCTCTCTCTCTGGCTCTCTGTAGGTTTGGGCAACTGCTCCTTCCATCCATATATTCAGGCTGAGGTGTGGAAAAGGCTCCCAAATGGCATTAGCTCCAGAGTGATGCACCTTCCATATCCTTTTATTTTCATTATTTCTCCTCCTTTGAAGAAGTTGAGTATTTTTGCAAGAACATTGACTAACAGGAACTAATCAATTATTCTTAAATTTAAAAAATTGAATGAATCAAATGTTCAACAAAGGATACACACACAGACTGAATGACAACTAAGTTATTTTACAGTTCCACAAACCTAGAGAGATCTATCAATGAATGGGGTATTACATTCTAATATTTCTAAGACTATATTGAATATTGAATATTCAATATTCTAAGACTATATTGAATATTCAATATTCTAAGACTATATTGAATATTCAATATTCTAAGACTATATTGAATATTCAATATTCTAAGACTATATTGAATATTCAATATTCTAAGACTATATTGAATATTCAATATTCTAAGACTATATTGAATATTCAATATTCTAAGACTATATTGAATATTCAATATTCTAAGACTATATTGAATATTCAATATTCTAAGACTATATTGAATATTCAATATTCTAAGACTATACTGAATACTGAATGACTACATCACCTACAAGAATACAATGAGAGTACTAAACTAACACTCAGTACTAAACATTTGTCCTACACTCAGAGGTAGGCACCAGGTTCTGGTGTCAATGTATGATATGCCTGTCTCTAAATAAACATTTTATCAGATAACAGTCTTTGAAAGTCCCAGTGCAATAGTAAGTATAGTCTGGCCTGTGTATCCATGGGTTCTGAATTCGTGGATTCAAACAACCACAGATCAAACAATATTTTAAAAAACAAGTATGGTTGTATCTATACTGAATGTGTACAGACTTTTTTTGTATTTCCCTAAACAATCCGGCATAACAACTATTTCCATAGCATTTACATTGTATTATATATTATAGGTAATCTATGATGATTTAAAGTATATGGGAGGATTGTGTAGGTTATACATGAATACTACACCACTTTATAGAAGGAACTTGAGCATTTGTGGATTTCGGTATCTGCAGGAGGGTCCCGGAACTAATTCCCCATGGATACCAAGGGACAATGGTATATACACAAAGTTTTACACCTGATTATAAAAGTATGTGTATGATATTTAAAAGTAACTTCAATCTTTGCTCCATAACAAATGAGAATTAACCATAAGTTCCACCCAAAATAATATTTAGAAAACTATACACTAGATTACTCTTAGTTTTTGTGGCTGTGTACTACCGTTATCCTAAAATTTGATAAAATCATTTTAAATGCCTTTTAAAATATTTTTTACCTTGGAGATTACCACCAAGAAATGAAAAAGAATTCTGAACCAAATCAGAAGTTTGAGATTTGAAATCTGGCTTTGCTACTAACAAACCCTGTAAACTTAGAAAGTATAGTGCAATCAATTCACAATAGGCTTTAGAATAGGCCATATGAGTGAATTCTGATACCACGTTTACTAATCACGAAACTTGATCATAAAGCTATTGTGAGAAGTAATCAAGATAACACACACAAAGGGCTTAGCATGGTACAGAGCACACAGTAAATGTAATAACTCTCATACAGTAAGTGTTAACTATTATTAAGAATTTTAAAAATAATTTGTAATGCAAGTGTCACTGTCAAGTTGCACAGGACCCAGAAAGAGGATAAGAACATATTTACAGCTTTTCTTTTATTATTTTCTAAAAGATCAAATAAATTCTTGCTGAAAAAACTAAAGGCAGAGGGAGGCAATAAGCAGTATTTGGAATGAAAACAAAACAAAAAGGTATTTCCTCTTCACAGATTTCTCAAATTCCAAATCCCCTCCCTACCACCACCACTGCTGATACTCCTTCCCTCCACAAAAGGAAATCACTCTTTAGGCTTAGGAAAAGACTGGCAAAAAGTATCTTGGAATTTTCACAAATGTGTATCCACAACACACATACATACTCCTTTTCTAAATACATCAGATCATACTACACATCTTTTTCTGTGTCTTGGACTTAACCACTCAAACTATTATAGGTATCATTCGATGCCAGTAGCTGGAGTTCTACCTCATTTCTAATTCATTTTATTGTAGTGTAATTTACATACAATAGAATGCACATATTTTAGTTATAGGTTTTGATGCAATTTTATACATGTTTAGGCCTGAGTAGCCTACCTTGATCAAGATGTAGATTTTCCCAACTCCGAAAAGCTCCCTGTGCCCCTTTGCAGACAGTCTGGCCTGCCCCATGCTCAGCAGTGACTGACCTGCTTTTTCTACTGTAGATTGTACAGTTCATGCAAATGGAACAATACAGTGGTGTCCTCTGTTGCCCTCTGTTTTTCAGTCAATGAGTAGTACTTCCATTTATGAATATATTCTTCCCCCACCCTCACATTTTTTTTTTTTTGAGACAAGTTCTCACTGTGTCGCCCAGGCTGGAGTGCAGTGGTGCGATCTCGTCTCACTGCAGCCTCCACCTCCCAGGGTCAAGCGATTCTCCTGCCTCAGCCTCCTGAGTAGCTGGGATTACAGGTGCTTGCCACCACACCAGGCTAATTTTTGTATTTTTAATAGAGACTGGGTTTCACCATGTTGGTCAGGCTGGTTTTGAACTCCTGACCTTGTGATCCGCCCGCTTCGGCCTCCCAAAGTGCTGGGATTACAGGTGTGAGCCACCGCGCCTGGCCACAAAGTGGTATCTTAATACAGTTTTAATTCTCATTGTTCTGATGGCTAATAATGTTGATCATTGTCTTATGTGCTCATTTGCCATTCATATATTTTCATTTGTAAAGTGTCTGCTGAGTCCTCTGACCATTTTCTATTGATAGCTTGTCTTTTGATTATTTAGTTATAAGACTTCTTTATAAATCTTGGGCAGACATATGTATTGGGAATATCTGGTTGCAATCTGTACCTAGCCTTTCCATTTTTTCAATACTGTCTTCTTGAAGAGCAGACTATTTTAAGTTTGATGAAGTTCAATTTTGCATTTTTTCTTTTATAGTTAATACCACTGTCTTCTGTTTTAAATTTTTTGCCGGTCTCATGTTTGCAAAGTTATTCTTCTAGAAATTTTATGGTTTTGTTTAAGCCCATGATCTATTTCTAATGAAATTTTGTATATGATCTATTTTATGAATGAAGGCTTAGTGTTTTCTTCATGTGGATATCGAGTTGTCCCAGCAAATTTGTTATATGCTTTCCTTTCCTCATGGACTAGCTCTCGTGTCTCTGTTGAAAATCAATTGATGACGACAAATCTCTTGAAAATGAGTTGATGATATATGTGTGAGTCAAATTTACCCCATCAATCTCTTTTTCTCTTCCTACACCAATACCACAGGGCCTTTATTCCTATGGCTTTATAGTAAATCTTGGAATCAGATAGTATAAGTCCTTAAACTTTATACTTTTTCAAAATCATTTTGTATTTTATATGTTCTTTGCATTTCCAGATAAATTTTATGTTCAGGTATCAATTTATATGACAATTTATATGGCAAATAATGAATATCATACAGTATTGAGTTTTCTGATTCATAAACTGTATCTCTCCATTTAATTAGCTTTCTTTAATTTCTCTCAGTAATATTTTGCTATTTTTCATGTAGCAGATTTGCACAACTTTTACTAAATTTATTACTAATAGTTTTATGCTATTTTGATGCTTTTGTATGTGGTACTTTTAAATTTTTTATTTTCAACTTTTCATTGCTAGCGTATAGATAAAAATTGATTTTTGTGTATTGATGATGCTCAGTTCATCATCAATTATTAGATCTGGTCCTTTATTTGTAAACCCCGTAGTGTTTTCTTCATGTCATATCTTCTGCAAATAACAACAGTGTTACTTCGTTTATATCTTTTTGTCTTTTAATTATTTTGCTTGCTTTAGTGTCCTGGCTAGGACATCTAGCATCACGTTAAGTAGAAATAGTGATAGCCAATAAGGCTTTTTTGTTGTTGTTTATCTGTTAATTTTTTTATACCCATATCACATTTCCACTCTTTTCCCACCTCTATAGATAATTTTTTCTTTTTTTAAAAAAAGTTGTAGGATACATGTGCAGAATGTGTAGGTTTGTTACATAGGTATACATGTGCCGTGGTGGTTTGCTGCACCCATCAACCTGTCATCTAGGTTTTAAGCCCTACAAGCATTAGGTATTTGTCCCAATGCTGTCCCGGTAAAGAATATTTAGGTTGTTTCCAACTTCCAACTTCTCATCAGCATTACAAGCAATGCTGTAATGAGCATTCTTGTAGACTTCAAATGAGGATATTTCCAATTAGAAAGACGAGGTTTCCATTTGGTATCATTAAAAAGCTCGGGAACAAGATAGCAGTGATGTTTACACAACATTGTGAGTGCACTTAACACTACTGAATTCTACACTTTAAAATGGTATTTTGCATGTCATGTATGTTTAACATGACAAGAAAGATAACTCATATGCTAAATGTGTGAAAATAATTTTTTCTCTTAAGTAGTTCAGTTTTGTTTACATTATTGATTTGCTTAGTCAAACTCATCCTCATAGAGAATACAAAAGTAATCTTGCCCAGGCCAGGCATGGTGGCTCATGCCTATAATCCCAACACTTTGGGAGGCTGAGGTGGGTGGATCACCTGAGCTTAGGAGTTTGAGACCAGCCTGGCCAACATGGCAAAAACCCATCTCTAATAAAAATTCAAAAAAAATTAACCAGGTGTGGTGGTGCCTGCCTGTGGTCTCAGCTACTCAGGAGGCTGAGGTGGGAGGATCACTTGAGCCTGGGAAATGGAGGTTGCATTGAGCTGGGATCACACCACTGCACTCCAATCTGGGTGACAGAGTGAGACCCTGTTTCAAAAAACAGAAAGTAAACCAGCCCAGATTTTTGCTAAATTCATAAGGTTCTACTAATGAAGCTGTAGAATGTAATTGAAGAATCATTAAGGAGACTGAGTCTAGCCAGTTCCACCCATGTCAATAAAAAGAGCCTCAATGACTTTTTTCAAACTGTAATAACTCATTTATTTTTCTTTATATATTTATATATCAAACTATAATAAATTATATATATATATATATATATAGAGAGAGAGAGAGAGAGAGAGAGAGAGAGAGAGCGAGCAACTTTTATGTTTCTGCATTGAAATATTTTAGTGCTTCAATGTGTGGAGTGGAAAATTGCCTTCAGAGAAACAGGCTCTAAATTTGAAGAGTCACATTTGACCTATATTTTGTATAGGTGTGATGGTGTGTATATTGACCATCAATATCATACTTTGACACAAATTCCTGAGGAATTAGTGCATTCGAGTCAGTAGAGCTGTCTGTGCTAAAGTGTGCAGGTCTCACTGAGGAACTGAGAACGCATCTGAGTTTCAAAGAAAGAGGTGTTTGAATACATTTGAGTTTTCAAAGAAAAGAGTGTTTGCCAGAATGGATGAAGGAGGTTGCTCCAAATGTGGGAAGCAGCCAGCGTGCCTGAAACAGAATCAGGGAAAGAAAAGTGTGTGGGGCAGTCAGAAGGAATATATGGTTAGTATATATAAGGGACATACAGCGATGGTGGATGAAAACAAACCAGTAAGGAAAAAACAAGTGGAATATTGATGTCAGTTTGCTGAATTCAATCAGCATAATTTTAACATTTAATTAATATAGTAAGACCTAGACAATGAATGGACTTTGTCATATGAATGTTATAGAGTTTTAGAAATAACATTTGGTACATCGAATTAACTTACACAATCAATTCAAAAAGCACATGCATATCTTCAGGAGTGCCATATAATCAGACAAATACAACTTAATTAAGATTTGTGATTTTATTAGTCAAAGAAAAAAACATTAGGGAAGGATTCACCTAATCCTAATTGCATGGTTTATTTAGAGTAGGTAAATGGAACAGATCTTTATTTTCCAAAATTTCCTAGTATGAAATCCACTCTGCAAATGTCATAACAATCCATGACTTTACCAGAGAGTAGCTGAAATAGTGGTACATACTGGCTGATAAAATTAGATACTGGATTAAAATAGATATTTTTATTAATAAAATCCTAATTCCCTTAACAATGTTATTCATAGTAGCCTCTAAGTACATTTTGAAAATAGTTGTGTATAGGTGAATTAACTACTTTACATATCCAGAATCTAGACTCTTGTAACCTATTGCAAGGAATCTACAAATTCATAGCTCTTGTACTCCTGGGATTTACAACCTACTGGTGTAAAAATCCTGCTGTAAGAGAGGTGCATATTCAAACAATTTTGTATTAATTGTTTGGAATGATTGCTTTGATAGGTAGGTCATCAATCTACAATACTTATGCTCACAATAATTATCCGAAGTTATCTCCTACTGCTGCCTGGATCTCAACTGAGAGATAAACTAATTTCTCTTCATTCTTTATATGAAACATGAGTATGCTGAGCTATATCTCATCTGAGGCCCCTTCTAGTTCTAATTATTATATAATTTTATGCAGTGAAAAGTTAAACTAAAGTTATGGTTGTTAGCGTATGTCTCATAATATGCCTTGATTCAGGGTTCTTCCTAGAAATAACCTCTAAATCAAGGATTATCACATTCAAGAAGTTCAGTGGGAAGGTGAGGCCAAGAACACTATGCGGGGAGTGGGAATTAAAATGTATTAGTCCTTGTTCTTCAAGAAACAGACACCATGTTGGGAATAAACATGAAAGGACTTGATTAGGGAAAATAACCTGCGTGGGAAAAAAAAACAGAGTGCCTGGGATGTTAGCAGATTAAAACTTTAAGTCTGCTCCCAGTGGAAGGAAATATGCTTGGGTGACTTCTAGGGTATGAAAAAGTTCTTCAGGAAGTCCTTGAACCAGAGCTGGCTACCAGCAAGGTCCCACACCTGCCAGGGCGAGGCCTGCGCTAGTATCCCTGCCATACTCCCGTTATTGGCTAGGAGTAGGAAGGTGTGATTGCACGCAAATGCTGCCGTGGATTCCAAAGCACAGCAGCAGAGGCCTTCATTGTTCCTCTCTAGGTACTTGGAGTTCTTCCAGGGCGTTACCGTGACCACCCTATGAGATATGGAAGGTAAGGGAAGCCAATACAGGGTGTGCTGTTAGTCAAGTGACCAGTGTGGGCCCTGGGAAATCAGAAAGACAGGGTGGGACATGTGCCTCAAAGTTATCCTATCTTAGGGTTGAGGGCTGGGGTATTTATCTGCCAAGTCCCACTGGTGAGTTCTCTAGGGCTGTGGGTGGGGACAAAAATTCCATGAAACCCCCAGGCTGCCATACACCCAGACAGGCTGCAGCAAAAGCCCTCAGGCAGCCAACGTAGGTGCTTGCAATTGAAAGTCAGGCTGGTGGGCACAGATACAGCCAGTGCCAAGAGGATATGGGCAGGGCCCCAACAGAGTCTGCTGCAATGCATGGGAAAGACGGTGGCAATGTCAATGGAGGTCCATATGGTCCCTCTCCGCAGTTCTTCCTCCAGCATCAATGCCATTTGGAATAATCTTCCAAAGACAGAGCACAGTCAGGATTAGTTATGTGTAGATGTTTTAACAGTAAAAATACTATGGGCTTCACCTACCCCTGGCTGTTGACTTTTTCAAAGTAGTGCAGAAACCTTAGGACAGCCTCCTGCCAAAGAGTTACATTTATTCCTATCACTGCCCACTGCAAGGCTTTAATAGCCCTTTTCTCTTTCTTTATGAGATGCATTGAAAAGACTATCTAAAAGCTAAATAATTAGGAAAGAATATCAACAGGAAAGACCTAATAGACTGGAAGGTAGGAAACAAAGCACAGGATGATTAAATTTTTAAAACACAGCAGAGCTAGCATTCCAATAAGCCCTAGGAAGCCTACGGAGCTTTCACGGGGTACACTCCAGGGGCAGATAGTGGGTATGATGGTATAGGTCTCCACAGAAGAAGATATGTAGAACAGTCTTCTGATTGGTGGGAATTGTTTGCCAAAGGCAATTTTGAACTATTTCACAGCTAGCCTGGGGTTATGTAATCACTGGTCTTTCATCATGGCAGAAAGTGCCAAAGCAACCAAAATTCCAAGTTCAACTGGATTTACTTGCATTTACTTACTTTACATGATGTGCCTACAAATATACTACGATCAATCATAGGTCCTAGGAATGTAGAGCTTTTGCAGTGTGTATCTAGAGTTACTGGCAATTGGTTCATGATATTATTGGGTTCAGGGCATTCCAGAATTGCCCTAGATGCCAAGGTGTCAATTATGTACTTGGTATGAGTGTTGGGCAGAAACATCACCTCTATTGAAAGCTCAAAATGCATTCAGAAAATATTGATGAATGCTAATACTAACTTAATTGTGGAAGTGTTAGGTGTTCATCATAGGAAAACCTTCATTACCATGGATACTTTTCTCTCAGTCCTGCCTCTAGATTGATGAGAAAGAATGATCTACAATAAATTCAATTCGTGCTTCTCCCAGATACAGGGTTAAATGTGAGACAGCAACATTTTAGTTGCATTAAAAATGTCCCTGGTTATTGCTTCGGCCTCCCTCTGCTGTAAAGGCTGGATATGAGTTTGCATAGCAAGTAGCTAAACTTAAACTTTCCCACTCTTCTGAAAGATGGTAGAAAGTTTAACCAGTAAAAATATAATGCACAAAAGGTAAGTTCATTTTTAGTGTCTTGCAGCCTGCTTAGTTGGTGTAAAGAATGGACTACTGAAAGATAGTAAAAGCACCGAACTTAAAATTTTACTATCAGAAACATGAAATTGTCACCGAAATTTTATTTAAAAACTCACAGAATTGTTGGCATAACAGTGACTTACAGCTTATTCATCAGAGCAAGTTAGTAGAAACCCAAATGCTATTCTCAGATATCCATTCTTTTCTCAGATATTGACTTGCGTGTTTTTACATTCCTAATGAAATTGTTTAAAAGCAACATATGTAGTTGTCAAGCAAGCTAAATTGGTAGCCGAATGAACCCAACGACGTGAGGCTGCATTACATTTTGTAAATCCTAAGTCATATTCAACTTGTTCTATATACTGATTTCCTTATTCCTGTTAGGAAAGGAAGTTGAAAGTTTAGACTTGTCCAGATTTCAGCTTTGAGGATTCCTCTATCACATGAGGCTTGGGGTGGTCTGCGTTTGTTTCAGCTTAAGAGCCATAGCAAAGATGCTTCGGGGTGTTGAAAGCAACAGCTACATTGCAGAGAAGCAAGGACAGAACTCGCAGGTGTCCAGAAGGAGAGTGAGCTGTGGGAGAGAGTCTGGGAATGGGCAGCGATGGAGGAAAAGAGAAATGTTGAGGACCCCTCACCTCCCTTGTACTTTGTTTCTTCAAGCCTAACGTTGTGTAATCTATTGTGTTGTCTTGCTTATCCAGGACGAAAAATGGATCTCTAATGAATACAATCATATCTGTAAGCTACAGATTTTACCATCAAAAATATGATTTATTAGTAAAGCTGGCCACATGGCACTGAATTTACTGGCCTTTGTATTAATCATATAAAATAGTGATGGGAGTTATAGTAGGCTGATTCTGAGATGGCTCCCTGTGATCTCATTGGAAGAGAGATGTTTATTATGATATGACAAAAGCCTAGTGCTAATGTGGTCTGCAGTTATGCTGAAAACAGAAGATATACCTGATAGACTTGGCTACATGGCTAAGGAGATTTCTGGGCAGTGGGGAAGACACTATTTTTCTCTTGCTGCTTATAGCATGATAGAAGAGCCATAAAGTGAGGGAAGAATAAAACAGGAGAGCATAAGGTCAAAAAAAGGTACATTAAGAGACATCTGGCTTTAACTCCAATGTGTAAAGTTCTTAAAAGTCATTGCTTCCACTCTTACCACAAGAAGAACCTGAGTGAACTGAAAATCAGTGACAATTCGTGTATCCAAATGAGAATGAAGTTCCTACAGCAAACAGCCACCCAGAAATCTGCAAAGATAGATGAATTAGGGGAGTCACAGCTGAGATCTGTTTACCCGGTGCAGAAACCACTAGAAACAAACTCTTGGTAGCACTTCAGTGGTAATGCTGATGATTTTCCGGAGCGCTAGTGTGGAGTTGCGTGAGAGTGATAAACTCCTGGGGTCACACTCTTGGAATCCCACACAGTTGTGGATTTTACCTCCAGAAGCCCCACCAAGCTCTCACAGTAAAGAGTTGAGAAAATGCCATCATGGTCATGTGGGGCGCATGGAAGAGAAGTTATTGTGAAATATACCCAGAATATTCTCCATAACAAAGACCTACCCTCCAGTGAGGGATAAAACCTTTAGCAGAGACTTATCCCACTTGAGGTAAGGTCACTTTTCACACTCTGGGCACCAATATCCTTCCTGTTCCTTGTAAGGGGAGAAGCAAAGCTAAGAAATGCTTGTAAGGGACATGGACCCCCTAAAAGACTGTGATGTAATCATAAGAGTATAGAATACTTCCCCTATGCCAACCTTCTCACCACACTAACAGGGCTCCAATGTAACTGTGGATTACACCTAAAAGAGCCAGAAAACACAGACTCTCTGTGGAGGAGTATATAAGGATGCCCAAAGTCAAGAGTGGAGACAAAATAAGGATACTAGAGGAATTTGAAGCCACCGCTACCTACATCTACAGCAAACATTATATATAGCTTGATTCTCAGCCAGATTAATAATAACAACAAAAAATGCTCACTAAAGGCCTGTTTGCCTCACTGATTACTCTTCAATATATTATGTATGGGTTTTAATGGAAAATTTTAAGGTATGAAAAAAAGCAAGAAAAAACAAGTCAGAAAGACAAAGCAAGCATCAGAACCAGACTCAGATTTGACACAAATTTGGAAATTATCAGATAGAGAATTTAAAATAACTGTTTTAGATTTTAAAGACTCTAATGGAGGAAACAGTCAACATGCAAAAATAGATGTGTAATGTAAGAAGAGTGATGGAAACTCTAGGAAACAATCAAAAGGAAATGCTAGAAATAATAAAAATCACTGACATAAATAAAGAATGTCTTCAATAGGTTCATCAACAGAACAAGTTTGAGGAAAGAATGAGTAAGCTTGAAGATAAGTCAACAGAAATAATTTCGAAAGTATAATATACATCTATTTGGAATACCAGAAGGAGAAGAACAAGAACAAGAAACTAAAGAAATATTTGAAGTAACACTGTCAGAGGATTTTCCCAAATTAACCACAGCAAATCACAAGTCAAGAAGTAGAGAACAGTAAACAGGAGAAATACCAAAACAATTATACACAAACTTCAGAAAACCAAAGACAAAAAGAAAATCTTCAAAGGAGTCAGAGAAAAAGTAACCTGACTTACAGCAAAACAGGACAAGAATTAAATTAGACTTCCCATCAGAAACACAGAAGCAAGAAGACTGGAGTGAAGTATTTAAATGCTAAAATAAAGAAAAAAAATACAAACTTGAGAAATAAAGACTTCCTCAGACAAATGCTGAGGGAAATAATCACCATCAGACCTTCCCTGTAAGAAAATATTAAAAGAAGTTCCTCACGGAAAAGGAAGGTGATAAAGTTCAGAAACTCAAATCTGCGTAACAAAGGAAGAGTGCCAAAGAAGGAATAAATAAAGGTAAAAGAAAATCTTTTTTTCTTTTCTTATTCTTAATTGATCTAAAAATAACTATTTAAAGTAATAATACGATGATGGTATCATATGATTAGTGAAGTGAATGACAGCAATGATGGTGGCATAGTGTCATTTAAAGGTGGAGTTAGATTACTTAAAATGTATGTTGGAAACTCAGGCTACCATTAAAATATTTTTATTTTTATATTTTTTTTGAGTTGCAGTCTCACTCTGTCACCCAGGCTGGAGTGCAGTGATATGATCATGGCTCACTGCAAGCTCCTCCTCCTGGGTTCAAGTGATTCTCCTGCCTCAGCCTCCCATGTAGCTGGGATTACAGGCATCTGCCATCATGCCTGGCTAATTTTTGTATTTTTATAGAGATGGGGTTTCACCATGTTGGCTAGGCTGGCCTTGAACTCCTGACCTCAGGTGATCTGCCTGCCTCAGCCTCCCAAAGTGCTGGGATTATAGGCATGAGTCACTGTGCCTGGCCTTAAAATATTTTTAAAATATGTATAATTAATATGCTAAAAAAGAAGATAAAATTGTGCAAAATGTCCTACTAAAATCAGAAAAGGCAGAAAAGTAGGAAAAGTAAAAAATAAAGAACAAATATAGCAAATAGAAAACAGTTTAAATATGGTGGATATTAACCTAATAATATCAATAGTCATTTTAAATCTAAACGGTGTAAAGAAGCCAATTTGAAGACAAAGGTGTTCATAGTGGTAAAAAAAATCCAACTATATTTAATCTACAGGAAACTCATTGGAAATATAGAGACATAGGTCAAAAGTAAAGGTTTTAAGAAATATAAATCTTGTTAACACTAATTTTTAAAATTGCATAGAACTTTATTAGTTGTGAACAAAGAAGATAGCAGAGCAAGAAAAATTATAAGGGAAAAGAGGTGCATTACATAACGATAAAGGGATCAATTCTCAAAAAAGACAACAATCTTAAACATTTATTCACCTAACAACAGAGCAAAAACACCTAAAAATGATGCAAAAGCTGATGGAACTAAAGGGAGAAATATACAAATTCACTATTGCAGTTGGAGACTTCAAACTTCTTTTTTAGTAATTCATAGCTCAGCAGGTAGAAAATCAGTGAATACAGTTGACTTGAGGAACACTATCAATCAATATGATATAATTGACATTTATATAATAAAATACTACCTACAAACAGCATAACATATGTTCTTCCCAAGCTTCTATAGAACATACAGCAAGATAGGTCACATTCTGGGCCATAAAACACACAGGAACAAATGTAGAACAATAAAAATTATAGGAAATATATTATCAGGTCACAGTGGAATTAAACTAGAAATCGGGAACAGAAAAGTAGCTAGACAATCCCAAATATTTGGAGATTGTCTTAACTGGTTTAGTGTAGCTATAAAAGAATACATGAAGCTGGATAATTTATGAAGAAAAGAGGTTTATTTGGCTCACAGTTCTATAGGCTATACGAGATGCATCATGCCACCATTTTCCTGGAGCCCTTCAGGAAGCTTCCACTCATGGCAGAAGGTGAAGGGCAGCCAGCATGTTCAGTGATCACGTGGTGAGAGGGAAGGCAAGAGAGAGAAGAGGGAGGGGTCAGGCTCTATTTAACAACCAGCTTTTGTGGGAACCAATGGAGTGAGAATGTGCTCATCCACCCACCAAGGGAGGGCATTACTCTATTCAGGAGAGATCCACCTCCAAGACCCAAATGCCTCCCATGAAGCCCCATCTCCAACACTGGGATCAAATTTGAACATGAGATTTTGAGGCGACAATCATTTAACCTATAGCAGAGATTAAATAACACAATTCTAAATATCGCACGATCTAAATAAGTAGGCTCAAGAGAAATATAAAATATTTTGAATTAAAGAAAAATGAAAATGCAATTTATCAAAATTTGTAGGATGCAATGAAAGCAGTGCTTAGACAGAAATTAATAGTATTACTGAATATATAAGAGAAGAAGATCCAAAATTGATCATCTGAAGTTATAGAAGAAAAGCATAAAAAAATTAGAGCAGAAATTGATAATATCTAAAACAGGAAAACAATTGAGAATATCAAAGAAATGAAATGCTGTTCTTTAAAAAAATCAATAAAATTGATTGATAAATCTCTAGTTAAGGTAACCAAGAAAAAAATAAATGTACTACAAATTGACAATATCAGAAATGAAAACAGGGTCATAGCTACTGATGCTATGGACATAAAAAGAAATATGCAAAAATACTAGAAACAACTCTGCATGCCCACAAATTTGATGGCTGAGATCAGTGGTCCCCAGCATTTTTGACACTAGGGACTGGTTTTGTGGAAGATAATTTTTCCCTGCACAGGAGGGTGGTGCGGTGGGAAGGTTTTGGGATGAAACTCTTCCACCTCAGATCATCATGCATTGGTTAGGTTCTTATAAGGAGCATGCAACCTAGATCCCTTGCATGCAGGCAGTTCACAATAGGGCTTGCGCTCCTATGAGAATTTGATGGGAGGGGGAGCTCAGGCGGTAATGCTCACTCACCCACTACTCACCTCCTGCTGTGTGGCCCTTTTACTAACAGGCCATGGATTGGGACCTGTCCATTGCCCAAGGGTTGAGGACCTCTGGCTTAGATGAAATGCACCAATTCCGTGAAATAGACCAACTTGTACAAGAAGAAATGGATTATCTTGACAGGTGTATTTGTATTAAAGACACTGAACATAACTAATAACCTTCCAAAAAGAAAACAGCAGGCCCAAATGGTTTCATTAGAAATTTTGTTTTTGTTTCTTTTTTTCTTTCTTTTTTTTGAGATGGAGTCTTGCCCTGTGACCCAGACTGGAGTGCAATGGTGCAATCACAGCTCACTGCAAGCTCCGCCTCCCAGGTTCAAATGATTCTCCTGCCTCAGCCTCCCGAGTAGCTGAGATTATAGGCACCCATCATCACTCCTGGCTTATTTTTGTATTTTTAGTAGAGACCGGGTTTTGCCATGTTGGTCAGGCTGGTCTCGAACTCCTGACCTCAAGTGATCCACCCGCCTCAGCCTCCCAAAGTGCTGGGATTATAGGCATCAGCCACCATGCCCGGCCTCATTAGAAAATTCTGCCAAGTATTTTAAAAAGACTGAACCAAATCCTCTATAATATCTTCCAGATAATAAAAACAGAAAGAGCAGCAAGTGGAATTTATTCTAGGAATGTATGACTGGTTTAACATTTAAAAAGTAATCACTCTAAGGCTGGGCATAGTGGCTCACGCCTGTTATCCCAGCACTTTGGGAGCCTGAGGCAGGTGGATTACCTGAGGTTGGAGTTTGAGACCAGCCTGGCCAACATGGTGAAACCCTGTCTCTACTAAAAATACAAAAAAAAAAAAAAAAATTAGCTGTGTGTCGTGGTGCACGCCTGTAGTCCCAGCTACTCAGGAGGCTGAGTCAGGAGAATTGTTTGAACGTGGGAGGCGGAGGTTGCAGTGAGCTGAGATCTCACCACTGCACTCCAGCCTGGGTGACAGAGTGAAACTCAATCTCAAAAATAAAAAAAGATTCACTCTAATACGCTACATCAACAAGTTAGAGAAAACAAAATATATCATCATACCAATAGATGTGGAGAAAGCATTTGATAAAAACCAGCACCCATTAATGATAAAAACTTTCAGAAAATTAGGAATAGAGGGGGACTTCCACAACTTGGTAAAGAACATCTACAAAAACCTACAGCTAACATGACAGCTAATGGCCAGACACTGGATGCTTTCCCTTTAAGACAAAGAGCAAGACAAGTTGCTTCTTCTCACCACTCCTATTCAACATCATACAGGAATTTCTAGCTTGTGCAATAAAACAGGAAAATGAACAAATATATAACAGATTGGAAGGAAGAATAAAAACTGTCTTTTTTTTAAGCAGATAACACGACTGTCTATCAAGAAAGTTCCAAAGATTCTACTTTGAAAAAGTCAACAAAATGGGCATTCTGAAAATAATTTGTAGTATAACAAATTTACAGGATACACAGTCATGTATATATAGTATTATATGAATACATAGTTTGTATTGTTACTATATGTATAATTTGTACCATTACTATATATACAGTAGTATAGCAAAGTTACAGGATACACACTCTCTCTATATATATATACAAATATATATATTTGTATTGTTACTATATATAGTATTATACATAAATTTTGTATTATTATATGTTTGCATAATTTGATTGTTACTATGTATTTTTAAATTTTTTTATAGTTGCTGTAGTAAACTACCATAGGACTAGTGTTTTAAAACAGAATGAATTCATTGTTACAGTTACAGAAGTCAGAAGCCCAAATACAGTCTGCCTGAACCAAAGCCAGGGTCAGCAAGGTTCCTTTCCACTGCTTTTGCCAACTTCTAGAGGCCACCTGTATTCCTTGGTTCATGGCCCCTCTCTTCATCATCAAATAATCAGCATAGCTTTATGACATTGGCAGCTCTGATTTTGCTCTTTTGCCTTCCTCTTATGTAGACCCTTGTAATTACATTGGGTACACCCAGATAACCCCAAATAATCTCCCTATCTCAAGATTCTTAATGTAATTATATTGGGAAAGTCCCTTTTGTCATATAAGATAACATAGCAATGGATTCCAAGGATTAGTATGTGAGTTTCTTTTGAGGGGCTATAATTAACCCTACCACAATATGGAAATGTCTATTGTTTTTCTATGTACCAGAAATAAGACATTAGGATGTGAAATTAATAACATAACACCACTTACGGCATCACCAAAAATAAAATAACTAGGCATACATATGGACAAATGTGAACAGGAACTATGTGCAGAAAACTATAAAACTCAGGTGAAAGAAATCAAAGTAAAGCTCAATATCGAGAATGATAGTCCATGTTCATGAATGGGAACACTCAATAATATTAAGATGTCAATTATCCCAGACTTTGTCTACAGATTTACTGGAATTACAATTCAAATATCTGCAAGTCCTTTTGTAGATATCAACAAACAGAAGCTAAAATATAAGGGAAGGACAAAGACCTTCCTAGAATTGGCCTAGAATAGTCAATACACTACCGAAGAAGAACAAAGTTGAGCCCTTTTATTACCAAATTTCAAGACTCACTATAAAGCTATAATAATCAAGACAGCATATATTTAAAAGAATAGGTAGATAGGTCAATGAAACAGAATTGAGAGCCCAGAAATTAATCTATGCAGAGTCTGCTGATCTTTAACAAAGGAACAAAGGCAAGTCAATGAAAAAAAAAAGTCTTTTCAAAAATGGGGCTGGAATAATTGGACATACATATACCAAAAAAAAAAAACAAAAAAAAAAAACCCAGACACAAACCTTATACCTTTCATGAAAATTAACTGAAAATGTATCAGGGCCCTAATTATAAAATACAAAATGATAAAACTTCTAGAAGTAAACATAAGAGAAAATCTAGGGTTTTGCGATAAAGTTTTTGATAGAACAGCAAAATCATGATCCATGAAAGAAAAAATTCATACGTTGTACAATATTTTAAAATTAAAAACATCTACTCTGTGAAAGATACTTTTAAAAGAATCATGGATGGAGCTGGAGGACATTATGCTAAGTGAAATAAGCCAGGTACCAAAAAACAAATATTGTATAATCTCATTTATATGTGGAATCTAAAAGAAATTGATCTCATAGAAACAGAATGAAAAAAGGTAGTTACTGGGGCTAAAAATGAAGGAGAGAAATGGGAAAGGAGAAGATATGGATCAAAGGGTACCAAGTCTCCCTTAGACTGGAGAAATAAAGTTAAGTGATCTATTGCACTGCATGATGGCCACACCTGATAATAACATGTTGCATATTTCAAAATCACTAAAAGAATAGATTTTTAACATTCTCAACACACACACACAATGTTAAGTTGGTGAGATGATGAATGTGTTAATTAGCTTGATTAAATCTTTCTACAATGTATATATATGTAGGTCAAAACATCACATTTTAACCCATAAATATACACAATGTGCTAATTTAAATAAAAGCAAGGGGAAGAATTGAAAGATAAGCCACAGACCAGAAAATATTTGCAAAATACAAATTTGCTTAATTACTTGTACCCAAAATATATATTTAATAAACAACTCTTAAAACTCAACAATAAGAAAACAACTCCAATATAAAATCAACAAAATATCTGAACAGACATCTCACCAAAGCAGATACACAGATGGTAAATAAACATAAGAAGATTTGCTGAACATCATTGGTGACTAGGGATTTTCAAATTAAAACGGCAATGAGGCGGGGCCTGGTGGTTCACGCCTGTAATCCCAGCACTTTGAGAGGCCAAGGCAGATGGATCACTTGAGGTCAGGAGTTTGAGAACAGCCTGGCCAACATGGTGAAATCCTGTCTCTACTAAAAATACAAAAAATTAGCCAGACGTGGTGGTGCGTGCCTGTAGCCCCAGCTACTCAGGAGGCTAAGGCAGGAGAATCACTTGAACCCAGGAGGCAGAGGTTGCAGTGAGCTGAGATTGTACCACTGCACTCCAGTCTAGGCGACAAGAGCAAAACTCCATCTCAAAACAAACAAACAACAACAACAACAAAAAGCAATGAGGTACTATTACACACTATTTAGAAAGGCAAAAATACAAAAACAAACTGGAGATACCAACGACTGGGGAGGAAGCAGAGCAATAGGAGCAATCACTCATTGTTTATGGGAATGCGAAATGACACTGTCAACTTTGGAAGGCAGTTTAATGGTTTCCTAAAAAGCTAAACATACTCTCACCATATGATCCAGCAATCACTTTCCTAGATATCTACCCAAAGGAGTTGAAACCTTACATCCACACAAAAAATCTACATGCAAAAGTTTACAGAAGGCTGATTCACAACCACTAAAAACTAGAAGTAACCAAGATGTTCTACAATATGTGAATGGATAGGGAAAGTGTGGTGTAGCCATAGAATGAAATACTATTTAGTAATAAAAGGAAATGAGCTATTAAGCCAGAAAAGAGATGGATGAATCTTAAATGCATGTTGTTAACTGAAGGAAGCCCATCTGAAAAGACTGATACTGTATGATTTCCATTATATGACATTCTGAAAATGGCAAAAACAGTGATCATAAAAATCACCATTTTCAGGGGTTGGGGAGTGAATAGGTGAAGCTCAGAACTTTTAGGGTGGTGAAACTATTTTGTATGACACAATGTGGATACATTACACTGAGGATAAAAAGTAAATCTTGATGTATGTAAATTTAAAATCGTATTTAGGAGGTCAGGGAATCCTAGAATGGAATGCAGAATGTGACAAAACCAACTTTATTAAAAATGCATTACACAACCTCACTGAAGAGGGAGGGGAAAAGGTGCTGACATAAGCAACTTTGGAAATGAGTTGAGTCTGTAAGACACAGTCAAAAGAAACTGTACACAGCACTGCCACTGCATTCTAGTTAATAACACTGTTTCCCACTGGCTACAGGTTAAACGTTCTGATACCACTGTACATATAGAGTAGAACTGAACAACGAATTGGATGGTTGGTGGAAGGCAGGAGCCAGATTTACCACTGTTGGAGTGGGCATTTACAGATAAGTAAGGGAAAAGGGCTGGAATGATTCATGTGGCAATGGATTAGAGTTGTAGACATTAGTATGAATTAATATTTGGCTGAATATAGACATACACCATTAAATATAGAAATATTTATAGATATTTGTGTATGACCTGGATTAGTATGTACAAATACATTACCATTCTCTGTCAGCTAGAGGACTCAGAAACAGTATCACAGTAGCAATGAGCACTAGTAATGCCCAGATATTAGTTTCTAATACCATTGTCTAATAAAAATAACCAGGGCTCCTTGGAGAAGTGGCTGATTCTAGTGACAGGAAATGTACAAGGTGAGCCTGAGGCACCTTGTAGTGCCATAAAGGAAATATTCCAATCGCATGCTCGTGCAGGCAAACACACACACACACACACACACACACACACACACACACACACTAATGGGGGTGTGGCCAAAGGTGCACAGAGCCACTGAAGATCACCCAGTGGCCAAAGCTGGCATAATGTGAGCAAAAATAAATAAGAGTAGTATTGAATTATAACCCAAAATATCATACAAATATTCATAAACCCATGCTTTATAGTTAAATAATAAATAAATGAATGGGTGAGAAGAGACAGGTCTCCCGTGGAGCAGAATGTTAAAAATGTATGCAAACGCTCTGCCCTCAAGGAGGTGGAACACAACTCCTCACTCCTTCAGTGTAGGCTGCATGTAGACGCCTCCTTACAAAGAGTTCAGTATGCAAATGAGAAAGGATAATAGTAATTTTACTGTGGAGAAACTTGACAAATACTCCCTCAGGCCAGGAAATCCCAACCTTTGCCTGGCTGGATTTCAGAATTGCTTTAGAGCAGCAACTCCTTTGTCCTCCAGTTCTCTTTTTATGGAACAGGTGTGCCTACATCTGTTATCTAATGTCCATCCCACCATTGTATGTTGAATACATGTGAGAAACTATCTTATCTCTTAACTTTTACATATCTAAACATGGAGGAAAGCTATACACAGGAAGTACACCAGAGGAGCCTCCTTCACACATGAAACTGTTTCTGATGATAGAATTCTAGACTTTGAGCTGATGCTGTAATGGAATGACTTTTGGCAATCTTGAAAGAAAGAGAGTGTATTTCACATGGGGAGAAACACAAATCATTGGAGGCCAGAGGGCTGATTGTGGAAGGCTGCTCCTGACAAGGCTTCCAACAATCCCATCCACCTGGCATTCACATTCTTGCAAAATCTCCTCCACTTGAGTGTGGGATGAACCTAGTGACTTGCATCTAATCAATTGAATAAAGCATAAGTGGTGAACTGTCACTTCCAAGATCAGGTTATACATGATTGTGATTTCCATCTTGCTTGTACTCTCTGGCTCTTCTTGAGTGCTTGCCCTGATGACACTGGCTGGTGACACTCACATGGCAAGAAAATGAAAGTATCCTCTGACCAGTGGCAACAAAGAACTGCAGCCCTCTCTCTAGAGGCCTTTGAGGAACTGAATTCTGCCAAGAGACACACGAGTTAACTTAGAAGCAGATCCTTCCCTAGTAGAGCCTTCTGATGAGACTACAGCCCCAGATGAAAAATTGAGTGCTGTCTAGTGAGATACCCTGAAGCAGAGGACAGAGCTAAGCCATGCCTGGATTCAAGATCCTCAGAAACTCTGAGACAATAGATGTGCTTTGTTTAAAACCTTCATGTTTTCAAATTATGGATGGTCCCCAACTTATTGTACTTTGATTTACAATTTTTTGACTTTATAATGGATTTATCATGCTGTAACTCGTTAGTTCAGGAACATCTGGACTTATGATGGGTTTATCATGTTGTAACTCCATTGTAAGTCAAGTAGCATCTCTATTTGCTATGCAATAATAGATACCTAAGGAGTTTAAAAATTGTACTAACGTCTTGGGAAATGATTTGGCAGTTTCTAAAAACAAACAAACAAACAAACAAAAAAACCCTGCATCTACCTTAGGATCTAATAATTCCACTTCCACATATCAATACATGATAAATGAAAGTGTGAGTTCACAAAGAAAAACCCTGTACATGAACATTTAAAGCAGCTTGATCCATAAATAGTTGAAAACTAGAATTAACACATGTAATCATTTGTAAGAGAATGGATAAATTAATAATGGTACATCCATACAATAGAATATTATTTAACAATAAAAAATGAACTGCTGAGACATGCAAAAACATGATGGACCTCATAAACATTGCATTCAGTGAGGGAGTTCATAATGCATGACTTCATTTATTTGAAATTCTAGAATAAGCAAAGCTAGTCTATGGTGATAAAATCCAAACAGTTGTTGATTATGGGGGTAGTTTATCGGGAATAAACATCCTTTGGGGGGTGATGGCAATGTAACCTGTCTTAACAGGGGTATGGATTATACAAATATACATAACTGTCAAAACTGATCTGTTCATTTTACTATACATTATACCACAATTTTTTTAAAAAAGGAGATGGCATAAAAGAAAGCAAAGGAAAACATAGTGAAACCCCAAATTCACAATGCAGGAAATTTCAGGAAGAAAACTATTCGTGCCATGGAAGAAAAAATTGCTGTTATTTTACTAAATCATAACTGATTACGTCAAAGTCAAACATATTGTCACATAAGTGACATAAAATCAATTAGACATCAACAGCATCTTTCTTATCTTTTTCTGTGCAAAGTGTTCAAGCTTGATTAATGAAATGTCTTTCCTAACGCGAGGGTGAGTCATCAAGCTCGAGATCATGATGAGCTCCTCTCAGGGCCACTGCTCAGCCTGCTCCCTTCAATCCATCTCAAGGGCCCTCTCTTCCACTATAATGGAGCTCACAGTCAAAGTGGGAGAAGGAAAATACACAAGTAATCACAGATAAATGCATGAGTAGTTGTTAGCCAGAAAATTGGAATTGAGCAATAGTGTCTGTAAATTAATGTGAAGTGCTAGCAATTGTTGCAGGCAGTTGGTAGTAACGGCTGATGAACACCTACTACTATGCGAAGCACCTGCTGCACATTAGTATTTCTGAGCCTCAGTTTCCTCACGTGGAAAGGTGCAGCTATAACACCGACCTTACAAATGTAAGAATAAATGAGAGAAATAATTTGCCCAAGGATGTGCACTAGGAGGCGGCAAAGCCAAGATTCCAACCAGCATCTGCATCCACAGCCAAGCTCTGCATTACGCTGATCTCCAAGCTGAGCCTTCATATTCATCTCAGGAGTTGCTTTTGAATGTCTTCAGCAGCCAAAAGCAACCAAACACAATAATTTGTTTTACAAAATGGGGATTATTCCAACTTGGAGTTGGGAACATTAAAGAAATGACCATGAATATCAGCAAATAACGGAAGAACTAAAATAAATCTCCCTTTTACTTTTAAATGGACAATGTAAGGGGATGTACTTTTTTTTTTTTTTTTTTTTGGAGACGGAGTCTCTCTCTGTTGCCCAGGCTGGAGTGCAGTGGTGCCATCTCGGCTCACTGCAAGATCCGCCTCCCGGGTTCACGCCATTCTCTCGCCTCAGCCTCCCGAGTAGCTAGGACTACCGGCACCCGCCACCACGCCTGGCTAATTTTGTTTTTGTATTTTTAGTAGAGACGGGGTTTCACTGTGTTAGCCAGGATGGTCTCAATCTCCTGACCTCGTGATCCGCCCTCCTCGGCCTCCCAAAGTGCTGGGATTACAGGCGTGAGCCACCGTGCCCGGCCAAGGGGATGTACTTCTGTTACCAAGCCAATGCACTTGAGGAAGAAAGTGCAGCTCTGGTCCTCATAAATTAGTCTAACTTCTTCCTTCAATTTATACAAGCTAAAACCAAGATTTTGGGATGGTGAAATAGAAACCAAATTATGTGGTTTGATTCCCATTCAGAATATTCAAACTCAACTATATCTGCCTGGATAAAATTTAACATTTTGTCAAATAATATGGCTGTATCCTAACGTGCCCTTGGTCCCCTGTTCAGACTTGTGATCCTAGAATGTTGCAATGCAGTCTTCATGAAGCAGCTGCTCTTTTTTGACTGATTTTTCCTGGTTCCCTGGGGTCAATTTCTTTTCACCTGTGTCTAAATGTTGACTAATTAGATCATGACTTCACAGGTGCCAAAAGAAAAAGAAGGAAACGAAGAAAAAGAAAGAAAGAAAAAAAAACTCTTGGGAAGCTGCAGAGACTTCTATTGCAGAAAGGAATGGATGTACTCTGTTGCCCTTCCCCAAATACCGCCCTGGTCAAGCCAATTGGGCCGCCAACCAATGGCACCGACCGGGCCTCCGCGCGCAGCGCCTGCTCAACTGACAGAGCGCTCGCATCCCTCCGCTGTAGCTCGTGCAGCCTGGGCTAACGAGCCCGGGTGCCGTCCCAGCTCCTCCTCCGCCCACTCCACTGTCTCTCTTTCGCCTGTGCAGTGGTTCCTGGCAAAACCTCTTATGCCACCTCCCGACCATCCCGGGAAGATTTGGCGGCTGGAGCCCTGCGCAGGAGCTGTAGGCAAGAGTGGGCACCAGTCCCTCCTTAACCCCTGCTGGGTGGGTGGGGTGCCGGAGTCCGCACTGATGACCGCTCCAGCCTGAGCTTTTGAGGGTGAGGGGGGTGTGGAAAGATCCGCCCTGGAGCGGAGCGCGCACCCGTGGGCTCCTTGCAGCGGTGGCTCTGCCCTGGTGGCGGGAGGGCGTGAGTGCGCGCGACTCCCTGGCTTTCGCGGGTTTCCCCACCCCTTGCGCAGGAAAGAGCCTAGTCCTGCGTCCCCCTGGCTCTCCCCACACACACCTCCTTGGAGCTCCTTTTGGGTTTGCTCCCGCTTCTGGTCTTGAGCGTCCTGAACTGTTTCCCGGGGAGGCAGCACTGGGCAGAGCGCCCTCGGAGCCGCTGGCGCCGGCCCGGCTTCCCTCCGGGGTCCCAGCAGCTGCTTCTCCTTCTCCAGCTCTGGGCTGCGGATTTTACCGCCCCTGCACAGAAGCCTGCAGCGTGGAGGCTCCCCTCGCGCTCGCCCAGACTCGGCTGCAGAAGGAGGACCCACCTCGCGTCTCCCCCGAGGCGCGCACCTCTGTCGCCACCCTCCACGCGCCTAGGAAGTTTTGAAGGTAGAGAATCTGGGCCCCTCAACTTCCTCTGGACATGAATCAAACCGCAGGAGTCTCCAATAGCGTCAGGTATCCCCCGGGGAAAGGCCACAAGGTAAGAGACCCGCGACGGAGGGGGCTTGTGCGGGGGCGTGGGGCGCAGATGGAGGCTACAGTTGGCGGGCGAGTGGAGACTCCGGCAGGTTTGTGGAGGGAGTGTGAGCAGCCGCTGGTGCGTCTGCATCCCTTGCAGGGGTCGGTGACTGAGGATGGTTGGCGGATCGCAGGGGTTGAGAGAACGTATGCTGTTTTGTAGACCCGCGGCCAGCAGCAGGGCTCTGCCCGTGCATCCGCTCCCGCCGGCCACCCTGGGGCTGGAGATCCTACCCTGCTTTGCGGCTGGGCTGGCAGGTGCAGCTGTTTCCCATGATTGCGAGGCTTTCGAGAGAAGAGGTCGGCGTTGGGAGGCAGAGCCCCTCCCCCTTTCACAATCAGACCCCCCTGGGCCAGAGCTTGCAGAGGAGCTCTTTCCCGGGAAGCGCGCGCGGGGCTCTCCCGCGGGCGCTGGCGCTGGCTGCTGTCACGGACACGTGCTTCATTAACTTTAATGGAGCGATGCGTGCCTGGAATTATTTCCAGGAAATTAGTGACGTTCAGAGAAAGGGGAGTGGGCGGCGGCCTAAGGAATTCTGGCAGAACCTCACTAGCAGCCCAGAGTGTGAGGGACTTGGGAAATGTTTACTCCCACGCGCAAAAAACCCAGATCGCCAGCGAGGTTCCGGATTTCGCACGGATCCTGTGGGGCCCGGCCACCCTTGGCCATGCTCAATACGCCTCACCTATCTGCCATTCCGCTTAGGTTGTGATGAATTAGCGAGGAAATTCCTTACCCGGGTTACATAGGGAAGCCGCACAGCAATGCATGTAACAATGAACTTTAAAATATTTTCGAATATTTATATATTTTTTTAAACCGAAAAAAGGCGAGCACTGTGGAGCTTAGTCCTTGATATGCAGACTGAATTTATGCTTTACTCTGTCATCTTATTTTCGACACCTATTTTTGTGTGTACACTTTATGTAAGGGCATATATATTTATTAGCTCTTATTGGAAAAATATTCCCATTAAAATCTACTTGTTGGGGTTTGGGGCATGTATTAGCCCACAATATCAACTCCAAACACTATCTACTTGTTCGGAGTTGAAGTGAGTAATGATATTGGATTCACTTGGCAGATAAAGGAATTCTTGTTTTGTTTGAGTTATGTAAGATGAGGATTTAAGGTTGAATGCTTTTATTCAACTGAGTAAGTAATATCAAGCATTTTCTTCTATCAGATCATGATGAAATATTTGAATCAGCAAGTCATTTCTCTGATCTCTGTTCTCACTATGATTTGAGTAGTTATATGTTTCACATTTACATTACTTAATATCTACAGGAAATGTATTTTAATACAGAGTAGTTGATATAAAATTTTTCAATTAAAAATAAAGTTTCACCCATCAGTGATAATATAGTAGAGACATCTGTGGAGTTCAGAAGATCATTCAGGAATTTTCTTTAAGAAATGTCTTTGGCTCCAGTATTAAAGTGGCTTCTTGGAAGAATTGGACTGTAGAGTATTGCCACCAATAAAACTTTCTGGAAAGTGTTGGAACACACACCAACAATTTAAAAGGTACTAGGAAACCTGTTAATCATGAGTTAGGGATCACCTTACATACCTATCAGGTGTCCAACAAATACTTGCTCCAATGAATCATATTAATTCAATAGTCATCAATCATCCATTTAATAAACATGGTAAACCCCTATTAAGTTCCAATAATATGAGAACGGAGAGCCGCAATATGAACTTAGACATTGCCTTCACTGTCCAACATGCAGTTCTAGTCATACCCTATCCTTCGTTCTTTAAAATCTTTGATGGCCTAAAGTGAGATGATGGTGAAATCCATTAGCTAGAAGGAAAAAAAATATTCAGTTCCTTTTCTCAAAGAAGAACACACTTAAGTTGTTGTTTGCCTGCAAAGTTTGCAGCTTTGGAGTTTGTCTTGTAGGTTGCTGTGGTGCGATAACATGAGAGACTGAAATGATTGGAGGTGACGTGTTGGTGAAAGTTCTGTAGTGGATGAGGGATGAGCTGGTAGCAGGAGTCAACAGTCAACACTGGGAAGTGCTGGATGGACCATGTGACATTTAGGTCACAGTATTTTTCCAATAAAATATAAAACTCAACAATGTCAGTTTAGTAGATGTTTTGGAACAGTTGTTTTTCCATCGTATATATAGCATATACGACTTTGGTGGAAGGAAAGGCATCAGCCTCTTAGGAAAATATTCCAGCTGGACTCACTTTTGTTTGGTCTCATTCATTTACTGATTACTGGTGTAGCAATTTACATTTGGCAAATTCTTATCATTTGTTCTTGTGCAGATATTTCTTGAGCAACATTGGTTGTCTCTTTTAGATGGTTATTCACCTTTTAGATGTGTTAGCCTTCTTTTAGATGTGTTATTTATTGCTAGGTTCATTCTTGCCTATTGAAGCCCTAGAATTTGGAAAGAAGAGGTCCTTGTTGCAGCCTCCTTTCTCCTGAGCATGGGGGCACCTGACCACCTGCTAACAGCTGCTGAGGATCACAGGGTAATCCACCACACTGTTGGCCCCAGTAGAGGCAGGAGCCACTGGTCCTGAGAGGAAACCTCCTGAAGTGATAGTCCTCTGGAATTGGCTCCTGGAAACTTGTAAGTGGTATTCATTCTTGAGCAAAGAATACAAACTTAAGTTTTACAGAAGATGTAAACTACCAACATAAGACTGTTCAACTTTAGCTTTGGAAGATGGCACTCACCTTCTGAGCAGAAAGTAAGGACACCCAGTTGAGTAGTTAACTCCAGCCAAAGTAGGGCCTCTCCTTTCAGCCTCAGGTTTGAAGAGAAAGCAAAGGTTTGGATTGAGTTTCTTTGCTTAGAGCTTTTCTGAAAGGGAAATTTCCTTGTATCAGTATGTATTACGTTAGACATCAAGACAAGTATTATCAGTGCTTCAGTCTCTGGAAGCAGCAGACATAGCTGTCCAAAGCTTGGACTTTGGGATCCTAAGGTACCAGTGTCATTTTGGATAAGTTGCTTAACCTCCATGCCTAAGTTTTATAGGACCTTCATGGTAAGAGTTTCATGAGGATTCAATAAACTAATCCATGTGTGGGGCTCGCAGCAGGACCTGCCACACAAGATGAGGCATTACTTTACCTTTGAGCCCCCAAATCAGGGAGGACAAGGCGACTTCACTTTAAAACCCTTTTTATTAAGGGGAGGCATGTGCTTTATAAATATTTGTACCACAGCCTCTTTTTTTTTTTTTTTGAGACCGAGTCTCGCTCTGTTGCCAGGCTAGAGTGCAGTGGCATGATCTTGGCTCACTGCATCCTCCACCTCCCAGGTTCAAGCGATTCTCCTGCCTCAGTCTCCTAAGTAGCTAGGATTACAGGTGCGCACCACCACACCCAGGTAATTTTTGTATTTTTAGTAGAGATGGGGTTTGCCATGTTGGTCAGGCTGGTCTCAAACTCCTGGCCTAAAGCAATCCACCCACCTGGGCCTCCCAAATTGCTGGGATTACAGGCGTGAGCCACCGTGCCCGGCCAACAGCCTCTTTTTACATGGTCGCCTCTCATAGGCACACAGCTCCTCAGGAGCAGGTCCCAGAGGGTATGAGTAGGATGGGATAATTGTTAGAGTATGGGCTTTGCAGTGAGACAAATGGTAACTTGGTAAAGATCACACAAATAGAGCTGGGCATGGCATGGTGGTGTGTGCCTGAGGTCCTATCTACTCAGGAGGCTAGTGTGAGAAGATCATTGAAGTTGGAATCCAGTCTCGGCAACACAGTAAGATGGCATCTCTAACCCTCACCCCCACAACCCCAGAAAAAAATCACACAAGTAGAAAGTAACAAATGCAGGACATAATTTAATTTATTTTTACACATCTGGAAAAGGGGAATATAATGTATGCATTATCTCATATAATTGTTAAGAAAATCCCCATGCAACAGTTTGCATATAGTAAGCATTTATTACATGACAAAGCTTCACATCAAGCATGGATATAGGTCCTGAAAATAATTCTTTGTATTACTTATAATTTGAGACCCCATTTTATCTAAAATTCTTCGCTCTATCTGATGTTGTAATTGTTTATATTTCATATCTGTTTTCTCTTTTCTCTGCTTTCAAGAGTATCTCCTTATCTTTGATTTTCCATGTTTGGTGACTTGTATGTGACTAGCCATGGGTTCTTTTATATTTATCCTGCTAGGAGTTCACTAAGCATCTTGAATCTTTAATTCTTTCACCATATTTGGGGATTTTGTACCATTATTTTCAAAAATAT